>NC_000002.12:58372170-58675200 GCF_000001405.40 Homo sapiens | reverse complement strand
TACAAACTTATTAACTGCTTGATGCTGGTAGTCTTTTTTTTAGTGTGAAAACTAGTAAAGAACTGGGTATTGTATCCCAACTGTCCTGTGCCACATGAGACATCCAAATTACGTTCAGGAGCATGAAGATTCAGAACAAGTGAGACAAAGAAACATACCACAAGCAGAAGGTTACTGACTATCCCAGGACACGCAACTGGTCTCCAAGAGTCAAGAGGGCTTACATCACCGGGTTACACAGCTATGAGACAAACACCAAATTCCAGATTTGAATAATACTTGGCAGAAATATTATAGAGGGGATTTAACCTTCAAAAAGGGGGTCAGTCTTTAACACTCTTTCCAAACGGGAAAACCTGTATTTCTATGATTATGTCTGCAGTTGAGAGAAATGACTAGCAAACTAGCAAATTAGCCTTTTAATTATACTTCAGTTCTATGAAACAATTGCTAAGTAAATCCAGATGTTTACATCAAGGTTGATTTTACATAAAGGTACTCCATTATTTTGCCTTCTGGTTCTTGAATAAAATCTTTTAAGATGTAAACAGTTTCCATTCTTCATAGGTGTGGCTATTAGGATTTCAGCTATGACACATGACACAATAATATAATTACAAAATACAATCTTATTTGGCTCTAGAATGGAAGCAAAGACATCCAAGATCCCAAGACAATTTTGGCAATCAGGATATCTAGCTCACAGTTTTAGGTCCAGAAAGCTACAATACAGTGAGTCCAAATATTTACATAAACAATGTCTACTTTTATTTCACTTTTCCCAGAAGTTTCGTGTTTACTTTGTATGAAATGTGGATTTTTAACGCAAAAATTTATGGACTGGACAATGGAACAGAAACAGAATGTGGTACAAATAAATGTTTAGTAATACAATAAAACAACAATTACAAATTTGGGGATGAATTACTAAACAAAGTATTGAGAAAATTGGGGAAATATTGAGAAAGAAATTATGTTAAATTCTCACCATTATGAATAATGGGAATAGTTGAAATTCCCTCATCAGTATTTGGCACAAGGATGTCTCATTAGTCTCAGATACCATGAAGAGGCAGAGTTTCTGATCATCACATAACCATTGTTATCACACCAAGATAATGCGATTTTAGTGAAATGCAAAGAGATATGACACTAGTTAGCATGCACAGCATTTTTGCTTATTTATATGAAATAATTTAGATTAGGAAGTTTTACTTTAGAAACTGTGTCTCACTCAGTTGCCCAGACAGGGATACAGTGGCAGAGTCATTGCTCACTGTATTCTCAAACTCCTGGGCTCGAGCAGTCCTCCCACCTCAGCCTCCTGAGTAGCCAGGAATAGAGGTACATGCCACCATAACTGACTAATTTTTAAAAATACATATATATAGAGAGAGAGAAATCAGCCGTGGTGGCTCACACCTGTAATCCCAGCACTTTGGAAAGCTGCAGAAGGTGGATCACTTGAACCCAGGAGTTCAAGACTAGCCTGGGTGACATGGCAAAACCCTGTCTCTACTAAAAATACAAAATTTATCTGGGTGGTGCATGCATGCCTATAATCCCAGCTACTCAGGAGGCTGAGGTGGGAGGATCAACCGAGCCTGATGGGAGGATCACCTGAGCCTGGTAGGTTGAGGGTGCAGTAAGCCAAGATTGTACCGCTGCATTCCAGGCTGGGCAATAGAGTGAGACCTTGTCTTAAAATAAAAAAATAAATAAAAATGTTATAAGTGAGGTCTCACTACATTGCCCAGGCTCGATTCAAACTCCTGAGCTCAAGTGATCTTCCTCTCTCAGCTTCCCAAGTAGCTGGGACTACAGGTGCAGTGGAAACATCCTATTAATACATGTTCAAGTGGGCAAGAAAGTTAAGTAAACCCCCAAGGCCAGAACTGAAGAAAAACCTGAAAACCAGAGCAAAAAATATATGCACTGCCCAGGATGGGTTGTGTGGAGGTGTGCATAAAGATCTTTCTTGGTAATTCCAAAGCTTCATTTTGAACACAGACCCAGTGATAAGATAAAGGGCCTCAAGCTTCAGAAGAAACAGATGGGAACTGAGACAATCCCTCCTTCTACATCATCATGAAAATCAGGACCTTCATGGGACTACATCCTGAGTGGACTCAAAAAATCCACCAACTGGTACAAAAAGATGACACAAAAGGTTCCCTCCTTCTGAGTTGGAATAGAAGAGGAAAAAACAATCTCTGGAAATGTATGATCAGAGGGCAGGTGAAGAAAATGTGGTTTAATTTTAGTCCTATGATTTGGGAATTCCTAAGTCATGAAACTGGCATAATAACTGCCCACAGATTAGGATACACCTCAGGACATCTGGTAGAAGATAATGCAAAAATATTCTGTAGACATACACTCTTAATACAGATAGCACAGGATTCCCAAGACAGTACCATGCTAAGGATGACAGCTGTTAGTTTACAATTACAAAACACATTTAAAAAATCAAGAGTTCAGACACAACTAAGAGTTAGTGGACACAATTAAAAACAGGATTTGCCTTTCAGGACTTCATAAGATTGAAGTAGTTGATGGAAACCAAATCAATAAGTATTACTTATGTCATGAGAAAGTTACCAGCCATTCAACATTCTATAAAAGAAAATAGTAACTTCACCATTTAGAATGAGTAGGGTAATTTGCTTGCATTTATTGACTAACGTATCTAGGCTTCATATATCAATTTTAGAAATTTAAATGGCAATATGATTGTTAACAGGTCATTTGAAATAATGTTATGAGTATTTTAATAATTCTTTTCAGGTCCAAACGGTGTAAAAGGTCTTTTTTCACAAATCAGTATTAGATATACATAAAAGTCAAAAGCATTTATCAAAAGACAAAAATCACATCATGAATTTGGTCATTAATTCGTTAAGTATTTATCTATTTTCTTCCAATGAGCAGCATTATTTTAAGTGCTGAAGAAGAAGTTGAAATTTTTGAGTGCCAGATGCTGTTACATATTTTAATCCCTAAAGCAACTTTAAAAAATAATTTGAAGGAAAAAAAGCTAATAGGAAAATTAAATTGGAATTTTTAAATACTAAATTAACCCAAAAGAAGGCAAGAAAGGTGAACAAAAGAACTAAAAGCCAATGGGATAAATAGAAAACAAATAGCACATTCTAGACTTAAACCCAACCATATTCTAATTACACAAAAAATTAAAAGGCCGAAATAGCATGAATAATAAACAAGGCAAACACAAACATGTATACTAGATATACTTCAAATGTGATAATAGCATAAAAGTAAATGGATTGAAAAGCTGTGTAAGGCAAATAGTAAGTATAAGAAAGCTGATGCTGCTATAATAATATCAGACAAATTAGACTTCATGTCACTGAGTATTACCGGAAATAAAAAGGGACATTTTATAATAAACAAAGGCTCAAATTGTCAGAAAGACATGACAACCATAATGTGTGAGTATATAATAACAGAGCTCCAAAATGCTAAAAACAAACATCAACAGAAATAAAGAAAAATACAGATAAATATATGGTCTTAAGTATAGATTTTGACACTCCTTTCTCCAAAACTTATAGAACAAATAGAAAAAATATAATAGATACATAGAATATTTCCAGAATTGACCTCATTGATACTTATAATATAGCACACCCAATAACTTAGAATACAATGCTTTTAAGTACACAGTGGACCATAGATGAATCTAAATACATTTGAAGGTTTGAAATCTTATAGTACCTGTTTTCTGATGATAATAGAATTGAAATCTGGAATCAATAAAAATAAGGTAGTTAGAAAATCACCAAATATTTGAAAATTAAATAGTAGACCTATTTGATCTGCAGATCAAAAAAAGAATTGATAAAGAGAACTTAGAAAATATTCAAACTGAATAACAACTCAGCATATCAATAATTGTGGGATACAGCTATGGAAGTAATTGAAGAGGAATGTATAGTTTTATATGTTTATATTACAAAAGAACATTAAAGATATAAAATCAGTGATCTAAGTTTCTATCTTAAGAATACATAAAAAGAAAAAATAAACCAAAGTAGAAAGAAGGAAATAATAAGGATAAAAGCATGATCAGTAAGTTCAAAAACAAACAGTAGAAAAAATTAACAGGGCCAAAATTTGACTTTTAAAAGATTAATAAAATTGATGAACCTGTTTCAAAACTAATTTTAAAAAGAGAGAGTACACAAAATACCAATATCAGAAACAAAAGTGGGGATATATCACTATAGACACTAGAGATAATAAAAAAGATATTAAGAAAATATTATTTACAAATTTATGTGCATAAATTCAACAATTTAGGGAAATGAATAAATTCCTTATAAAATAAAACTTGCCAAAGTGATATGGAAGAAAAAGAAAATCTGCATAGCCACTTATCAAGTAATTACATTTAAATTATCATTTAAATCTGTTCCACAAAGAAAACTCCAGATCTGGCTGGTTTTACTGGTGAGCTCTATCAACATTTTAAAAAGAAATTATAACTCTTACACAAACTCTTTCTAAAAATAGAGAAGGAAGGCTCATTTCTCAACTTATTTTAGGAGCTAACATAACTCGAACACCAAAACCTGGCAATGATACTGTTCAGGAAAAAAACAAAAGCAAAACAAAAACAAAAAAATTACAGACTGATACTACTGTGGATATATATACACAAGTATCTCTAACAAAATATTAGCAAATTGAATCTAAACTACATAAAAAAGCTAATACATCATAATCAAGGTTATAATAATACATCATACCTAATATATCTAAGGCTGATTTCATAACTGAAAATAAATCAATAAAATGCAACATATTAACAGAATGAACAGGAAAAGCCATATGATCTTCCCAGTAGATGTGAGGTGGGAGGTAGGAATTGACCCTGGAGGTTGTGCCCAGACACTGGACCAAATTGAGGACTAGCTAAAACAGGGATAGTGTGGAAGCAGTTTACCATAAGACATGCCTGTGAGTGTGCCATGTCAGTTTACCATTGTCATGGCAACACCCAGAAGTTACTACCACTTTCCACGGCAATGACCCAACAACGCAGAAGTTACCACGCTTTTCCTAGAAATTTCTGCATAATCTGCCCCTTAATTTGCATGTAATTAAAAGTGGCTAAAAATACACGGCCGACTGCCTCTGAGCTGCTACTCTGGGCATGCCCCCTATGGGATAGCCCTGCTCCGCAAGGAGCAGCAACTCTGCTGCTACTGTACACTGCTGCTTTAATAAAAGTTGCTGCCTAGGCCAGGTATGCTGGCTCACACCTGTAATCCCAGCATTTTGGGAGGCTGAGGCAGGGAGATCACTTGAGGTCAGGAGTTCAAGACCAGCCTAGCCAACACGGTGAAACCTATCTTTACTAAAAATACAAAAAAATTAGTTAGGTGTGGTGGCGCACACCTATAGTCCCAGTTGGGAGGCTAAGGTGGACGGATCACTTGAACCCCAGAGGCAGAGGTTGCAGTGAGCTGAGATTGTGTCACTGCACTCCAGCATGGATGACAGAGCCAGACTCCATCTCCAAACAAAACAAAACAAAATACAAAGTTGCCATCTAACACCTCCGGCTCACCCCTGAATTCCTTCCTGGGTGAAACCATGAACCCTTCTCAGGCTAAGCCTCAATTTTGGGGTTCCTCTGCCCCATATCATATGCAGTGGATAAAATGATAAAATGACAAAATGTAACATCCATTCATGATAATAATTAAAAAAAACTCTTAGAAAACTAGAGAGAGAACTATCTCAATCTGATGAAGGGTATCAACAAAAAAAACCACAACTAACATCATATTTAATAGTATGTATTGGAAATACATACTCCGAAATTGGAAATAAGACAGAAGTTTCTACTCTCACCATTTCATTTTACTGGAGGTCTTCTATAGTGCAATAAGACAAGAAAAGGAAATAAAAAGGCTAAAATTAGAAAGGAATGAGTAAAATAATCTTTATTCAGAAAACTTAATTGTATACATAGAAAATTCTAAAGATTCTACAAAAAAGCTACTAAGTTTAACAAGATTTTCAGATACAATTTTAAAAATCGATTGTAATTCTAACATATACTTAGCAAACATTGAAAAATAATCAATTTAAAAAAAGCAATGCACTTTACAACAGCAATATTAATGAAATCCCTGGGATTGCTTCCCAGATAAACCATCTTCTACAAGCCTTTGTTTCAGGCTAACACAGAAACTAGTGTCAAACAAAATATACATTACAGTACACAGAGGAGTCCGGAAGTTTAAATATACCTAAAAATATCAGGAATTACAGATTACTTTTATTTTTTCATTTTGCTTGACTGTACGTTCTAATTTTTCCAAATGGCAAGGCATACTTATATTGTTAAATATAATTATCAACCTTCAGGCCAGGTGTAGTGGCTAATGGCTAATGCCTATAATTCTATCACTTTGAGAGGCAGAGGAGGGGCAGATCACTTGAGGCCAGGAGTTCAAGACCAGCCTGTCCAACATGACTAAACCCCATCTCTACTAAAAATACAAAAAATTTAGCCAGGCATGGTGGGGCACACCTGTAATCTCAGCTTCTCTGGAGGCTAAGGCATGAGAATCATTTGAACCCGAGAGGTGGAGGTTGCAGTGAGCCGAGATCGTACCATGGCACTCCAGCCTGGGTGACAGAGTGAGCCTCTGTCTCAATTTAAAAAAAAATCATCAACCTTCAAAATTCTATTATAAAAAAATGATTTTGCCATTAATTATGAATGAGCTAATTTGGCAAATTATTAACTAATCTTCTTCTTCTCTTTTTCTTTTAAGACAGGGTCTTGCTCTGTTGCCCAGGCTGGAGTGCAGTGGCACCACCAAGGCTCACTGCAGCCTCAACCTCCTGGGCTCAAGTGATCCTCCCATCTTAGCCTCCTGAGTAGCTGGGAAAACAGGCATGCACCACCATCCCTGGCTAATTTTTTTTTTGTAAAGATGGGGTCTCCCTCTGTTGTCCAGGCTGGTGTCAAACTCTTAGGCTCAAGCAGTCCTCCTGCCTCAGCCTGCCAAAGTGCTGAGATTTCATGTGTGAGCCATCACACTCAGCCTAATTATTTTTCTGAAGTCAAAATATGTATTATGACATCTTTTCCAAAATCAATATTAAAATATATAAAATTCAAAAATATTCATCAAGACATAAAAATATCATTGTGTACCTTTATATAGAATATCTACTATGCTACCAAATATAGAAATTTAATTCTAAGTGAGGAGGAAAATAGCTAAAGTCTATTGAATGTCAGACTCGTCATAAATGTTTTACATGTATGATCCTTTATTCCCCACAATAGTATGAGTAGACACTAATATTTTCTCCATTTTCACTTGGGAAAACTGAGTCGCCCAGGGTGAAACAACTGATGTGAAATGACACAGCCATAGGTGTCAGTGGTAGCACTCAAACTTAGTGAATCTGATTTCAGGGCCTACAGTCTTAACCAATGTGCAGAACAGAAGGCTCAGGGGTAAACAAGATGAAAATGTTTCTGTTCTCATGAAGCTCACATGTTAGCAGTGAAATAGAGAAAAATAAATCAATCAATAAGAAAGCAATTAGACAATGATAAACTTTGAGGAAAACAAAATACAGTGATATAAAAGATAGTGGAGAATGTTTCGGGAAATCCTAGATGAGATGGCATTTACTGAAACCTCAATGACAAGAAGCAGCCAGTCCTGTAAAATTCTTGGAAAAGCTGATCCAAGTAGATTAAACATCTGTGCAAAGGCCTGAGTCACAGCAATGTTGGTGTGTCAGAAATGCAGGAAGTGAGGGTACATAAGAGATGACTTGGAAAAGTAGGGCCTCACACAATGACAGGAACTCTGTCCTTTATCCTACGCGTGATGGAAAGCCATTGGAGGGATTTAGGAAGAAGGTGGTACCATGATATATTTCTGTTTTCAAAATGTCCCTTTTTGTACCATATAGAGCTTGGATCATAAGGAAGCAAGAAGAGAAACAGAAAGACCAGGAGGCTATTGCAGTGGCACAGGTGAGAGTGGCAGGTGACTTGGCACATTGGCTAAGGTAGGGAAAGAAAAGACAGATAGAGTGGACAGGTTAGATATGTTGAAGAGATAGTCTCAGCAGGACTTTCCAATGGATTGGTGTGGTGGGTGAAGACAGAGAAATAAAGAATTATATCTAAGTTTTTGGCTTGGGCAACTTTACATGGTGGTAACACTTCTTGAAGTACAGATGACTAGGGAATGAGATGGCCGGAGGGGAAAATCAAGTTAAGTTTTAAGTGCTTATTACACATTTAGAGTGAGAATTTGAAGTTCCATAAGAGGGGTCACATTGGAGACAGAAATTTGGCAGCCATCAGTCTATAGATGGCGTGTAAAGCCTTGGGACTGGATGAAGTCACCAAGGGGGGAGTGTGTATGTAGAGCAAGTAATGAACCCCAAGCTAAGGCCCTGAGCATTCTAATGTAGAAACTGAGCAGGATGGATAGGAAGGGGAGAATACTGGAAAGAGCAGCCACTGAGGCTGAGAAAACTAGGAGTAGCACAAAAAGCAAAAGATTAGCAATAATACTACAAATCCAGAAGGAGGGAGTGCTAATCTGGGTTGAACTCCTTCAAGTGTTGAGTGAAAGAGAGCTGTATCTTACTTTAGGCCAACAATATGCTCTTGCAAATCTTGTATAAATTTAAATTTTAATGACTCATTCTTACAGAAGAGCCTGATACCTCAAAGAACACTAAAATGAAGAATTTTATAAAGTTAAAGATATTTTCTAAAATAAGAGTGCATCTCAAAAAAATCAAATGAGTAAACCAAGATTTTCATATATCTGCTTGCGTAAAGCAGGATTTAACTTGTAGTATTCCAAATCATGGTGAAATTATTTTAAGGGTTGAGTTTAATTTCAGCTGCCATCGGAAGTAAACTCTAACATTTGGGTCATACGTTTATGCTATCTTTACATTCCAGAGCTCACACAAAAAGTTTTTATCATCATAGCTGCTAACATTTATTATGTGTTTATTTGAAATTAATTAATTTAATCCTCACCCACATCTTATTAATTAAATAATTTTATTATGCCCAGTTTTTTAAGATAAGGAAATGACCCTAAGAGAGGTTTAAGTGACTCTCAGTGTCGGCTAGGATTTCACATTTGTCATAACTACAGACTTTGGTTTCTATTTCTGTGACATGGTTAAATACCTCAGGGCTCTGTCTTTAAAATGTCATGGTAAAGTTTGTTCTCTCCCTTCTTTACTCTGCTATCCATTTTCCTTACATATCCATCCTGCCAATAAGCAAGAAGCAAGAAAAACAAGGTAAAGTAACAAGTTGAGAAAAAAGGAGAAATGAAAGAAAAGATAAGCATATCTGAAAACTCAGCTACAAAAGTGATTATGATTCAGTTTTGAGTCTCCTGGCAGCACAGGCAAAAAGTAACACACAAGAGACTACAAAATTTCGATTATCTAACAAAAAAAAAATCACTTAGATAAGAGACCTTTTTTGTCCCAATCCATAAGCTCAGTATTTCTTAAAGGGTTTATTTGAGGGAAACCAAACCATATAATGATTGGAGACTTCAAGAGCAATTACTTGTATAATAAAGAAATATTCGTCATCTGCACTTAAAACTTTCCATTAAAAATGTGATCAACAGCTTAGCATTCTCTAGAATGAAACTGTCATACAGTTCATGGTTATGTCAGCCTTTTAAAGCAACTTTAATAGATTTCCAATGACTTCAGAACCACAACCCTGAACTTTTACAAATGTCTACATGGACTCAGTAGAAATAAGACCTATTATATACCCTGTACAAATGGCCTATGTCACGTCTCTCTCAGCAGCAGCAGCATTTGTATAAAACAAAACCTTGGCAAAAATGTCAACACAATGCTTGCCTCCCAGCTCCAATATATGTCCTTTCACAAGCAAACTGCCATGGGTTTTAACTAAGGAAAAATCGGTTTGTTTTTAAAAAACTTCCTCATTATCGGCTAATATAACAGAAATGACCAGGAAGAACATGATTTAATATGAATTAAATGGGAATACAACTCAGAAGCTTTCTTCTCGTTGAATTAGATAATCAGAACTATTAAACAGTATTTCAAAATGCTTTTCATAATCCTGGGACCATTAATGTCATGTTCAAATCACTGTGGATTTTTGTTGTTGTTGTTGTTGCTTTTACTATTCATAGGGATACAATGAGTCATTGGCACATTTCCAGTGCAAGATGCATTTGAATAATACATTGACATGCCCTTTAGCTAGCATCATGATGCCAGATTTAAAACAAGGTAAGAAGTTTCCTCCATGTACACTTGCAGTGTTCAGCTGTTCATAATCTATAGCGTTAACAATTTATCATCAAACCCAGCGACTTGCTGCCAACTTATCAAAGTGGTCACTGGATGCATATGATCAAGTCTGAGCATCTGGCTCTCCTCTGTTCCTGACATTAGCACAGACAACAGAATCAGCGGACTATTGAATGCAATTACAGTAAGCAAGACAGACAATAAAGATTGATAGCGCCTTCTCTTTTTATCACACACAAAACTAGTGGGGGTTAAAGCTTTGCCTTGAGCTGCCTTCATTTAACAATGATTGAAAATATGCAATTGTGTTGGTAAAACACTGTAGCCTGTACCACTTCATTTACTGGACACATTATCAAATTAAATGAAAAGTGAACTGCCAAAAGCAACAGTTATTATATATTAATGATGAATATTTACTTAGCATTGTTCACAAATCATACAGAGAACAGAATCCTTCTTGTTATCTTCTTTGCAGGTTACAGTTGAGTAGGTTTAACATTTCTATGTTTACGTTAAGTCTTCTGTCTACAAATCTCTAAATACAGACTTGCACGATTGGTTTTGTGACTATCCATGTGATTACAATGTGTAATTAATAAAATGCTCTAGTTGTAGATGAATCCTAATTATTGAAGAGCTTTCCCCCCTTTATAACAATTCTCATTCTTGTAGCTACTTTTGAAGCCAGAGAAACTTAATCAGGGGTATATGTTGTGACCCAAAGGTTAGAAACTCCAGCTTTATTGAGCTTCCAAAATATAGAATGGAAAGAAGACTCTCAAGATACAGACAAGCTACAAATGTATACTTTATATTTTTCTCCGAAGAATATTGCTTTCATAGACATAAGGGGATATGACAGTTCACCTATAATTTGACCTACAACATAAGAAATATTTAAGGTGCAGAAGGCAAAATGAGACAGCATAGAACTATTGAGCAGACAAGGGAAATAGATCCTATTCCACAGTTCATACAAGAGGAAATTGCATTCTAAGCAAATATCAATAGATCTGAAAATATAAAAATAAGTGTTTTATTGAGAAGTGGACCCAAAGACATGATAGCAGCAGGCGTGATTATTCCAAGTGATGTAGATTAATTTGAGGTTCTTTTTAAAATACACATATCTGGCCCTTCCTTTCCAAGGATATATACTGGAAAAGAAAGTGCTCATATATGAAATGTAATTATGTCTCTTTTCTAAGAGCTCAATAAGAAAAGAAAAATAAGGTAAAAGAAAACAAGAAGCAGAGAATCAGTCATGAGGTTTCTAAACCCACCCCACTGGTTATTCTGTAAACAATTAAATGTGTACTAGGAAGTGATGGTGTTAGGAATGAGTGCACTGACCATATACAGTTAAAATAAACAGCAGCGTGAGGTGTAGGAAATATAGCAAGTGTGAAAAACCCACCAAAGTAATAGCATCATCACAGGAGACTAAATATCTGGGAGTTAAAAACGGGTACTGAATCAGTCTTCATGAAATATAAAGGAAACAATTATATTCTCTAAAATTTACCTTCAAGCAAAATCTAACTGAAATCACTGTTTCTAGGCACATTCAAATTCTAAGGTCCATGTTCCCCTTAAATCCTTTGGACATGTGTCAGCTTTGCCAATATACTCAAACCCAACTAACCCCCAGACTTATCTCAGGAGTTTCTTAATATGAAGATCCCTGAGTCCCAAGAATATTTGGTAAGTAAAATATGAAAGAGCAGAAAGAAAACCTATGATGTACAAGCCACTGTCCAAGATCCATCTTTCTATCCATGCATATCTTGATACAAAATTTCTCAAGTCAATAATATTTTCAGTAATGTTTTTTGGGGGGTCACTGTAAAAATTTTAAATGAAGACATAATATATGCTTATGGCAAAAGATTAATACATTGCATTTCATTAAACGTAGAAACACAAAAGAATGCTCTTGCCATCCCCTCAATAGCTGTACCACAGAGATAATTACTTTTAAAAGTAGATGGGTCCTTATAGTAGCTCTATGTATTCATTGGTTTATTTGTAAGTCTGTATATTTTACATAATAAAAATTAGACTACTATACTATTTTGTTTTGTTTTGTTTTTGAGACAGGTTTTCACTTTGTTACCCAGGATGAAGTGCAGTGGCACAATCTTGGCTCACTGCAACTTCAACCTCCCAGGTTTAAGCGATCCTCCCACCTCAAGTAGCTGGGACTACAGGCACATGCCACTATGCCTGGAAAATTTTTGTATTTTTTGTAGAGACAGGGTTTGGTCATGTTACCCAGGCTGGACTCGAACTCCTGAGCTCAAGTGATCCACCTGCCTTGGCCTCCCACAATGCTGAAATTATAGGCTTGAGCCACCACACCCAGCCAGCTACTGCACCTGGCAGAGTTTTCTTTTCACTTCATATTATACGGATTTATATCTAAATCTATTTAAAGCTACCTATTTTTGTTATTATTTGTAATGGTTATATAGTATTTCATGGTTTATATTATGGAATTTTATTATGATTTATATCATAATTATTTTAGCCTTTGCCTTGCTTTTAATATGTTTCCTACTTATTAGATATCTTTACTAAAAAAGAGAGCAATGTTTCCAAAGAGATTCTCACACTTTATCTTCATTTACACACAAGTGTTTTTGCAGTATTGATTCCTAGAAATGAAATTTCTGTATCAAAGATCTGTGCATTTTAAATTGTAATAGATAATGAAAAACTGCCACTCCAAAAGGCTGTATCATTTTCTACTCTCACCTACAAACAATATAAGAGGGCCCATTTCTTCACAACTCATGGATGCTAAATATTTTTCATAAAGTTTTACGAATCCAATGTATTAAAAATGGCTATCTCATTTTAAATTTTCATTTTTTGCTTCATTTCATGTGGTTATTAGTCATTCTTATTTCTTCTATTAATTGTTCATTCATATCATTCATATCCTACACTCATTTTCCCGTCCTGTGATTTATCTTCTTATTACTTTCTGAAAACTCACTACTTGATGTTTAATTTGTATATAATGTAAACATACAGGTTTTTGTCTGTTCTTTACAATGATCTTTCCCAACTCACAATTATAAAAAATCATCTATGTTATCTGTTTATATTTTTATAGTTTTTAAAGTTTAGAGTTTGAATATCTCTGGAATTTATTTTTATGTATAGTATGAAAATATGGGTTTTTTTAACTCCTCCAAGTGATTCTTGTTCCTGTTCAAGTATAACAGTCACCGTCATAGATTGCAATGCAGGCCAAATGCCTGGGTTTGAAACCCGGCAATCCTTTTTTACTTCATTGTGCATCCTAAATGTGAGAAAACGTACTGTCTTATTGGGTTTTAGAAAATACTGAATGAGTTAAGACATATTAAGAGCCTAGATAGGAGTATCCCTTAGCCCAGGAAGCCATGATCACTGCATTCCATCCTGCGCAAAAGAGCAAGACCCTGTCTTAAAAAAATAAATAAATAAAACTAAAAAATAAATTAAAAAAAAGTTTAGCATGGTGTCTCCCATGAAGATACCAATACACAGCAGCATTTTATCATTAGCATTATTATTTTAACACAGCTCAAACATCTTGTTTTTTGTATTCAATTCAAAGCATAAGCCTGGACAACAAGGCGAAACCCCATCTCTACAAAAAAATACAAAAATTAGCCTGGCACAGTGGTGCACACCTGTAGTCCCAGATACTCGAAAGGATGATGTGGGAGGATGGCTTGAGCCTGGGAGGTTGAGGCTTCAGTGAGCTGAGATTGCGCCAACTGCACTCCAGCTTTCAAGACAGAGTGAGACCCTGTCTCAAAAAGGAAAATAAAAAATAAACAAAGTATACTGCTACTTCCTTAACTTCTCTCAAAATTCAACGGCAGAGTATTCATGTAGATTTTCACAGGATTTTATGGAGCCAAAGGCTCCTTAAGGAAATGCCACTTTAAAACAATAGATACTTTTGTTTTCTTGGTCATCAGACTATTTTTAAAGTAGTTAAGTCCCGAGGGTCTTTTTTTTTTTTTGAGACAGGGTCTCACTGTTGCCCAGACCGGAGTACAGTGATACAATCATAGCTCACTGCAGCCTCAACCTCCCAGGCTCAAGCTATCCTCCCACCTCAGCCTCCTGAGGAGCTGTCAGTACAGGCGTGCGCCACCACACCTGGCTATCTATATATATATCTATATATCTATATATATAATTTTTTTTTTTTTAACTAGAGATGGCTTCTCGTCATGTTGCTCAGGCTGATCTTGAACTCCTGGGTTCACATGATTCTCCTGCCTCTGCCTCTCAAAGTGCTGTATGGGCCTGGGCCATTGCGCCTGGTCCTGAGAGTCTTAAAAATGTTCGTTGATACAAGTCAATTGCAGTATATAGAGCCTTTTCAATGTTTCGCTTCATCAAAGAATGTGTTTGGTTCTTAACTATACATTTTGAAAGCCTTGTGGGTAACCTCTGTCTGACATCCCAATTCTGAATATCCAGTGGTCCAATGTGCTTGGGCCTCCAAGGCTAGAAAGCCACTGTCTCCCGTGGACAAAGAGAGGGCCTGGTGACTGGTCCCTCCGTACGACCACAGGGCGCATGCCAGGTCTGTTTACTCATGCTGCACAGGTTGAGATTCTCCAGAGAAGAAACTGGGTTCCTACTGACCCACAAGGTATCAGAAGACCCCAGCCACTCCCTCTTCTCTGTTTTTCTAACTCTGCTTATCAACCAAAGATCTTTCTTTTGGTCTGGTGAAACAGAAGATAACAATAAAGCCTGTCTGTGCTTTATCTACACTTTGTGAGTCCAAGCCTCTGTCAAAGTCCACTTAAAATAATTTTTAAAAGGAATCTGCTCCTAGCTCCACTTCTAAAAGCACGAAATAAGTCTGTAATCAAATGAAATTCAGAAAGGGTATTACATTTTGTCCAGCACCAGTGTACAACATAGAATTCTGTAGGTGTCTGTGGTTATTATGGTTATTGGATAAATACTATTTACGGAGCACTTGCTGTGATCCAGGGACCATGCTAGACACTTTACATGTATTATCTCAATTAATCCTCCCAGCAACCTTTCGAAAATTTCTTTTTATTATCCACAGTATACAGAGGAGAAAGAGGAGGCACAGTGTGGCTGAGTAACTTGCTAAGGTCAGAGAACATGATGGAGCCGGCTTGAATTTAAAAGAAAAAATATCAAGCAAGATTTGTTTTCTTAAATAAGCTTTCTATTTCTTTCCCCAAACCATTCTTAAAACAACAGAACACATCCACCTAGAATCATTGTAACAAATTACTTTCAGTCCAGTATTAACAAAAATGCAGAAAAAGAAAGGAAAGTGGGAAGAATAAATCTCTAGATAAACAGGCAAAAACAAATCTAAAAATTATAGCTCTACCAACTATCTTGGAAAGTCTAGTTGTTATGGTCTGAATTACGTTCCCCTGAAATTCATATGTTGAAGGCCTAAGCCCCGGTACCTCAGAATGTAACAGTATTTGGAGATAAGAGCTTTAAAGAGCTAATTAAGTTAAAATGGGGTCTTTAGATGGGCCCTAATCCAATGTGACTGCTATCCTTAGAAAAAGAGGAAATTTGTGCATAAAGGGGAATGACCATGTGAGAAACATAGCAAGAATGTGGTTCTCTGCAGAGAAAGGGAAGAGGCCTTAGAAGAAACCAACCATGCCAACACCTTGATTTCAGACTTCCAGCCTTCAGAACTGTGAGAAAATAAATCTCTGCATTTAAGCCACCTAGTCTATGGTATTTTTTAAGGCAGCCCAAGCAAACTAACATACACCAGTAGCTGTATATTTTTGTCAAAGAATTGGGGGAGCCAGAATGCGGGATTCACTGAGAGTTGCACTATAACTCACAGCTTCTACACCGGCTACTAGTAATTTGCAAGAATTTTCTTACATAAAAGATAAAAGTGGGAGTCTAAAGGGTACAAAGATAATCTTGGAAATGGAAAAAATAACTATTTTCACTTGAGCCTATCCCAATTTTTATAAATAGGATCTTTCAAAATAACCTGTACAGAGGTAGATATCTTCTTCTGTTTGTGCGCGTTCTCTCTCTCCCTCTCCCTCTAACCCTCTCTTGTCCTGCTAACATTTCATTCAACATCCTTACATGTGACAGGCTTCATTCTCTCCACAGGTGGACAGGTATGCTGATTACGCTAAGAATACATTTGGCTATAGAGGAATGCATTAACTAGAAACATAGCATGAGGTTCTAACCGACAAACTCCTTAACATGCAATTTGGCTTTGATATTGGTTAAGGAAGACAAGAAGCAAGAAATCAACTAATTTCGGCTAGTTGTGGCTTACCTACTCACATTATCTCATCACAACAATGGCTCCCCTTTTACCACCAGTCAATGGGCTGGGAGCAAAATCAGTGACCTGAGCTTGATCAGTCTCCCAATCACAGCCATGCTCCCCCAGAAGCTGTGGGGTAACTGGCTTTACGCCACAGTCAGCCCTCCCTCATTTCTGCTCACTAATAACCTTTCTTTGCTTTTGTTTGGATCTTAATGACCTCAACCCTTCACAAGAAGTTTGTCTCTTTTTTTTTCCTCCTCAACATGAACATGAAATGGCAGATAACCTAAAGAAATAAATATAATTTAGATGTAAAATAAAATATATCTACTAGTGTGTGTATGCATGAGTGTGTGTCTCATTGGCATGCACCAGATTGTACTAAATGGCAGAAATTTCCCAAGGGAAGATAACCTCCAGATACTGCTACAAAGCTTTATTCCCTACACTCTGCAAATTATTTAATTTAAACACTGCTTGATATGACTCTCCTAGGAGAAGGGTGTTTTCCCAGGTCCATTTTTAATTTGCCAGTGTGTATATGCATGTGGGCCTATAGAACTGGCCTTGCAAATGCACACATTGCTAAGAGAATCTGAGCAAAAGCTTCAGATTGCATAACCAGGGGCTGCAAATTGCTGTCTAAAACTAAGAAAATGGTAAAACGCATATGAAATTCCTTCTTCTTTTTGGTAAGGAAAAAATAGATAAAGGTTCAAGTATCCATCTCCCAGGGTCCACACACCCAGACAGTTTCCATTTCCTTGAGAAACAGGACTAATTTTTTTTTAAACATCGTGTGTGTGTGTGTGCAGGTATATGCTGGCGTGTGCACCACTGTTCATTTCTCACAGAAGATAGTCACGTTTATTGATGCATTTTACTAAGGCAAGAGAAATAACACAAAGATTAAAGAATCATTTCTCATCAGCATTGGGTAGTCCTGTATCATGTGCCAGGGACACAATTTTTGGCATTCTTTTAATCCTGCTTCTTCCACTTGCTTAACTTTTACTGCTATTCTACGGCATAATCAGAAAAGAATACCTGGTGAAACAAAACCTTGAGTGTCCCATTATGAATTTTGCCAAATTTTGCCACCAAAATTCTTGCCCTTTTAAAGAATGTATGGGTCCCATTAAGGAATTCATGAATTTCTCTGCAGACAGAATTTCTTTACATACAGCTCCACAGAAGGGCTAACCCCGCCACACATGCATCCTTGAACACACAGGGCCCACCTTAGAGATTGTCTTGTTACCTTGGCTAAATCCATTTAAAAGCAGATAGGCATTAGACAGTAATTTCAATATTAACTTACTCTTCTTGCTTCTTCATCAGAGCAAGCTAACAGGATGTGAGCGCCTTTCACCCTTCACCTCGTCTTCCTCTAGTTCTCTCCCTATGTGGTACCCTCCGCACTGGTAAGGTGACTGCCTTCCTCCTGCCAGCCTAGTTATTTATTGACATAAGCTTGCATTCTGGGGCATTATCAGCTTAATGCATAATTCAAAATCTCTTGCATGTGGCCTGCACTTTTGCCTTATCCCCTGCATCCTGAATGAAAGATAAGAGGAAGTATTTCCAAAGTGGGCACAGAGAAGGATTCCTGAACATTAACATTACATCCCTACCCCCAACTCCTCAGAAAACTGCTTGCCTTGCAGCTCCCACACACCTTCACAAAGGCTTTATACTGAGGAGGAAACAGTTCAAGAGATGGCCAAAACTTTACACCAAGTGGGGACCCAAGAACCTTTCAGATGAAGAGGTCTCTAAAGGCGGAAAAAAAAAATCACAATTACCTTAAGTGTCACATCCTAGCCTGGCAGTCAGATGTTTTCAGCAAAGCAATAGTTTCAAACGTCTGTAAGTCAAAAAAAGAAAAATCAGCTTTAGCATTTCTTTTTTTTTCATTGGGGCCGGGTAAGGTACATGTGTGTTGGAAGGGGAGACAGGAGAGTGAATGGGAATACCGGCCAGTGGAAAAGGCTTCTTAACATGTTGAAGGAAAGAAGAAGAATCCAATTAGGAGCCAACGAGAGGACAAAAGGGAGAGAAGGAGAGTGAAATGTTAGGATGTAGATGAACTGGGGGAAAGGAAGAGAAGAAAGAGACAGGCATTGAGAAGAGCATACTACAAGATCAACTGTATTAGAAGGTTAATTCAGTCAGAAGCAATTCAGTAAAAATGGCTGGAATCATTTTTTTTTCTCTACTTAATTGCCTTCTGATTGTGTTGATTAAATTAACTAGTTTTTTTTAATGATGTGTGAAAAGAGAAAACAAGTGGATAAGCCCACCTGCAAACACTCAGATCCAGGTAACCTGTATGCTCTGACTTGAACACGTTAACAACTTGACTGACACAAACATGCACACACGCATATGTATGCATGTGCATGTGTGTGGCAATGTTGATTTTGTCAAGAATTACCATCACTGTCCCCCAGAATTTTCATAAGCATTCTGTATACATGCATATATATAATATATACACTGAACTTTGCTTTCTATGATCCAAAGATTAATTATCTGTTTGGAAAGCAGTTTGTCCTCAATAGAGTAAGTATGCTGTAAAAACGTACAAGCATCCTTTGTCAGCATGGCTTTTAAAATTCTAGCTCGCTTCCCCCTAATGCACCTAAAGTCAGGACATGATACTAAAAATCAGAAGGTCACCAATATCATTTGGACTTATTACTAAATACAGAATTCTAGTAGATGCTTTGTACATGCATTTTTGAGTCTACCAAGCAATAACGCCTCCTTTTTTATAAACATGAAGTCATGAATTATTAAAAAATTAAAGACATTTAGAATAATGGTCTTCCATAGGAAAAGTATTTATTTCAACTTTCATCATTCATAGTTTATTGCATTGATTTTTTTTCATCAGTTTACTTAGTATTAGGCTTCCACTGAACTCATCAATAAGAAATGAATTTGGTAACTTTCAAGTCCACTATATTATTTTTCCTTTTATTTGTAGTGAATTTTTCTTCTCTCAATGGTATTACTGCAATAAGTCAGTCATTATTTCTTTATGTTTTCCTTTCTTTCTTTAGCATTTCATTTCCCTTTACAGCACATCTTGTGATCACAAAGAAAACAGAGACACTTATTTCTTTTAACAGCTGAAATTGCTGCAAGTGATTTAGCTGTCATTTAATTTGATTCCTCTCTTCTGTCTGTGGAGAAATATGTTTAATGTACTGGAAATTATGTTAATAAGAAAAAGCATTATCTCATTTAATGAAATAAATATACAAATATTTCAAAATAAAATAAAGAGGCAATCTTCACTGAGAAAAATGTCTCTTATGGTTTGCATAAAATAAACAAATGAGAAAAATTTATGAATACATTGAGACACTGACAAAAATTACACCTGCGTTCGGGGGTTGGCATGGCCGCAGCTTGGTAAATGAATTATCCACAACTTAATCAAATAAGTTTTTGAAAAACATGGACATATATTAAAAATCAAATTATTAATTTTATATTTTCAATTATGTCAAGCTAGATCACTTTATTTCTCTGGAATATACCCTAGGTTTTTATAAAGTTTTCTTTGTATTTTTTCTCTTCTACTTCAATGATTGCTATTGCTCGAATTAATAATTATAAGCAATCTCACTGAAAACATGACCAACTCATGTAACTATAAAAAAGGTTAGAATCCTTTTGATTTTGCTAATCATAACAGAGTCAATGAACTCGTTCCAAAGCTTTTATATATTAAAATTTATCTAATGCACAAAAAGGTTAAATAAATATTGTTAGTGATTTGAGCTAAACTTGAGGCAATTATGTAATAAAAGCATGACCACAGTAACAGAAACACATAATTAGCAATTTAATTACTGGCATGAAGACAAGCTAAAGATGTCAATAAAAAAAAATCTTCAATGACAGGCCGATTTTTATTCTCTTTACTGCAATTTGAGAGAAATATGCACCACCTGATGAGCAAAATGATTTTTATAAAAACCACCTAACCCTCCACAAACTGAAATATCTAATTTAAAATATTTCTGATTTCGTATCATTGCATAGTGAATCATTACATTTTATCCCATTTAGATTAGCACTTTCTCTTCTCTGAAAATACAATATTTCCAGTCAGCAAGTAAAGAACATTTTGGTTTTTTTTAAATGAGTTAAAGTAGCAGGTGTTCTGTTTCAATTTCATTTTTTTCCAGCTTCAATAACATATTTGACAGCAATGCTTTCCTCTATATGACAATCTAAATATCCTATCTCTTATCTTCTAAATTGCAGCTGAGAAACATAACTAAACCATTAATTGCTTTAAGGGAAAATAAATGCTAACTATGGTAGATAGTAAGGCTATTTAGGCATTTCTCTAGGTTTTTCACAATTTCTTTCCCTCTCTCATCTCTGTAGTTAGGGTTACAGGTGGAAGGTAAAGGAGAAAAATGAGTAAGTTGAGTTTATTGTGAAATGATCCACTTGTATTTTTTCATTACAATCCCAAGTTTCAGATTTTTAAACAGTCCTCAACTATTTATCTTAACATGTTCAATGCATTCTTACCACCTTATATGTCACTAGTATTTAACCAGTAACAGAAAACAGATACCTCTAGATAGAACCATACTGAAGGAAGTTTTCCATCTTGTGATAAAAAGTGAATCGTCTTGACCGGTGTTCAGTAGCCACTTGTACAAGCCCCATACACGGAGTGAAATCATGAAAGCCAGACTTGCTAAGAAGTTTGGTCTATAAATACCCTTGGGGCATGATGGAATACACTTCAAAACATGAACCCCAGCCACTAAGAACATAATAAATAACTCCTAATAGTACTGCCTTTATCATGAACCTACTGATTCTGATCACCTTTGACATTACAGTTCCAATCAGATATCCTAACTAAATATTTCATTCTTGAGAGAGGGTGTGTAACACAAACTCAAAAGGTCCAAAGAAATTGAAAGTACTTTTTAAAATATGTTTTATTTGGCTGTAGCTTGAGAAATTTTTTTTAAAGCAAATAATTGGGAGACAACTTTTTGGGAACTTCTTTGCTAATATATTGGTAACTAGAATTATTTACTTCCCACATATATTTCAATTAGAGGTCTCCCCGTTAATAAAGACTTCCCTTTTCCAGTGAGCTTTTGATCACTGTTTATTGTATATCACCATCAGCTTCTGAGTATCTGTTTTAACTGTAAACCTAAACTTATCTGGATTTTTCAACTGTAATTATCTGGGCCTCAAATTCACCTTCTTTGCATAGTTTTACAGTCCAGACACAAGGAATTGTCAAGAGGTTTGTTATTTAAAAACAAGCATGTTAATTTATAAAACTCCATGAAAGACCTTCTACATTAGCTATTATGGAGGCTGGTTAAGCAAAGATACCTGCCTTTGCAAAGAAGATGGTGTGTCCAACGATGTTGTTGCCTCCTAATGGAAGTGTAGTTATGATAAATGTCAAAGAGCTGACACAATAAATACAAAAAAAGTTAATAAAATAAAGGGAGCAAGGGTCTTGTGAGTAACCCCCTTTGTAAGTGAGTACTTTGGGGAGAGTTTGATAAAGCTTTAAAATGCAGCATCTCATTTGAACTTAAGAGCTGAACAGTCCCTTCTATAGGTAAAGAAACTGAGATTGAAAAAGGCTAACTTACCCAAGCACAAATGTATTTGAATGGGGACTAAATCACAGTTTTGTTGACTCTAACTTCAAGGCATGAAGAAGAAAGCATTTAAGATGAAGGAATCATTGAAAAAGTAAGTCAGGTAGAGAGGAAGGGAAGTAACTTAGGCAACATACGTAGGACTAAGGTGGATTGCTTACTTAGGGAGAGCTGCAAAAGCAGTGAAAAGAAAGATTGGAAATTTAAAAGATAAGAGCAATAGATATTCAGAAATGTGTTCTCTAGACAGTGAGGAGTCACTGACATTTCTGAATAGAATGGTGGTATAATGAACAGAGTGAAGCACGGATTGAAAAGTATAGAGACAAAAGGCAAAAAGTGGGTGCTATTGGTACTCCACTCAGACTCCTTTGCCCAGGCACAGCCATCCCCCAGCTGCTAGAAGAGTTGGCAGCTAAAGGCTCCCACCTGCCTCCTTTTCTGCAGGATTGTCCTTAGCCTGGCAGGATCGACTTCACTGCAGAGGTTAAAACTCTACAACCCACAGAAAAACTGCCTGACATGGAAGGGTGGGGCAACAAAAGCCACTTTCTTTGATTTGAGGGACATCAACTTTGTGGGTTAAGTAGTAGGTAGATGTTAGCTTTAACCATATGCCTCGCTCTGTTTCCCCATTCCCTTTCTCTTCAATGCATCCTTGTCTCAGGGAAACCCACTTGAGAGAAAGCTGTTAGTACCTGCACTGTCATCCTCTCCCCGGGGGAAGAATAAACCATGATGTAAACAGTTGAGTAACAGCAAACTCGACTCACCCAGAGAATAATCAGTACACAGAAAATCAACCAGGGAATGCATGGAGGCCATCGAGATGTGATTGTGCTTTTCTGGTCTTCTTGGCTTTAATTGTTCAAAGAACAAAATTTGTACGGCATCACTGGGGGAAAGTTTATAACTCAACCACTCTAGTCTGCACAGGAGATAAGTAAAGCTTCCATTTCAGGTGGACATGAAAAAAAGGAATACTGTTTGACAGTAACCCACCAGACACTGGCTTTCCCTGTCCAAACCCCATTTGAGTTTTGCAGCTTAATAAATCTTTGATCCATTTCTCACCCAACAGAAAACATACCTGCTGTTTCAGCGATAACTAAACCCTAAATTTGCATCTGCATGGATTTAAAATGTGAAATGACAAAGAAAAAATAATATTTTATAATACTGAGAAGCTAAAACAAGCTGTAAATAAGTTTGTTTTTTAAATATAGCAATCATATTTCTCTTGTACCCTGACATAAATAACACAGGATCTTGAATTCTTATACAATATATTGGTATTCTCTATTACACACTGTAGGGACACTAACTGTTGTCTAAGTCTAGGTCAGAGTTCTGGTTCTTCTCTCAAAAAACTCCTGGTGCTACTTAAGGTGATATCTATCTGCCACAAAAAGAAATAAAAAGTTATTCAATGAACTTTCAGAATGTAAATTCTAAGATACCTCATAACAGTTCCATAATGAGAGAGGAAAGGAGAGAGGGGGAGAGGAGATGGAGGGGAGGGAGAGGGATGACCAGCAAGAGAATATGAGAACGTAGTGCCCAAACTACAAATCTTCATGAACTAATATGGCTTAAGTTTCTTTTCTTCTTAATGAGAATCCTTTAGTTGTCATGAAAAATTTCTTAGACATAATTTGCATTTAACATTTAATCTTTCTCCTTCTTTTTCTATACACTGTATTAATAACTACCTGATAGCCAATCTTATCTTCCTATTGTGTAGTTTTGTAGCAAATTTATGTTCAGAATGAATTCCCTGCTTATGCAATGCGGTCGGTTACTCATAATAATGAATGGTGATATCAAAAGAAAATGTTAAAACTCCATAGCATGTTCTCAAACTTGAGCAAGCTTAATCTGAGAGCCTGGTGAGCAGATTCTGCCTGGGGCCTCACCTCCAGCATCTTGAATTCAGAACTGAGGACAAGCCAGGAGTCTCTTAGTTTAGTAAGCAGTATGGATGATTCTAATGCAAGTATCTGGAGACTAGACCTTAAATGACCTGGAGAGAACTCACGCTAGCCTTTGAACTACTTTGCAAATGGTTCTTAATAGCCCTTCCACTACATCTCTTTTATGTCCTAAATGACTGGGTTATAGTGATGGTGCTAAGGGTGAGAAAAAAATCTAAAAACGGAAATCAGCTTTGTTTGGTAAAGGAAGCAAGGATGAAGATAATACATTTGAGCTTGGAAATTTATAGTTTTACAGGGAGAACATGACCAGTCATCAGAATAAAAGACAACCTCTGAGTGTTGATGGTGCTGTCCTTGAAATACAGCCACCAACTCACCCTAAATAGACAATGGCCCTTAGTTAAATGATACCATCTGGAGATCAGACTTGGTTCTCAGATAAGTTTTGAGAATGAACTCTCATAATTTACAGTGATGCATTTAAGAACTGAATAACTTTTGCCTAAATACATAATTACCTAAGTATAAATAAAGTTGTTGCTCAAGGTAATAAATACTCAAGAAATACTTTTCACTTCCATTTTGGATAAAGCAGTCCCTCTTCAGCATCACGTAGGATACATAACTGTGAATCAAATGGGGTGAACAGAAAAGAACTGTTCTGGCAGTTTCTTAAACAATTTGGACCACTAAATGAACTCCAATAAAAATGGCAATGGTGACAATGAAAAAAGGCAAAACTTAACACAATGAAATGTAAAGACAAATTAATATTAAATGTTTCTCCCAAAACAGTATCTCTGGGGTAGGCGTACTGCAGCTGAACTACAAATGGCTTGTATACTTGTGGGTTGTGTAAAGAGAGGTGTCATGGAGAAAGGTGCTTTAAAAAAAAATTGAATGTAGTCCAACAAAGATTTGGCAGACTACATATTTAAAAGGTTGTGAATGCTTGCAGAAATTGATTCATTCACACTGTTGTGAATCATTTAGCACACACTTCAAAGAGATTTTAGCTTCTTAGTCTCTGCCTCCCACTTCCTGAGAAAGGCTGTTAATCAAAATGAAGACTCATAGATACAGCCTTGGGAACAGGACAAAGGGATGAGGATGAAGGAACACGGCATGGAACACTTTTACTCCTCTAAGGGCAGTTTGAATTTTTTTGGTTTGGGTGTTTCTTTCTTTTTTCTTTTTCTTTTTTTTTTGAGAAGTAAAGGTATAATGCAGTAGCATCACTTACTATACAGATTCTTAGACGGGGTTCATTATTATAGTTATACAGAAACATAAGTAAGTCCCTATTTAGGAAATGCTTCTAAATGTGCCCAAGTCAAAAACTACACTACCCGTTTCACTTAAAAGCAGCTCTCCTCTGAAATTATTAGATTATAGAGTAAAGGAGAGCACTATCATAAGTTATCTAAATTAAATGATTAAAAGCATCTGTATGTGTAAAAAATCTTTCGATTATAAAACAAAAATGTATTTCTTTAAAGAAATAATTTTGACACTATTTTAATGCTTTTACAAAAAAGAATAATAATAAATCTACCAATTCAGTGGTAGACTTTAAACCAGGATATTAGATAAAAACCACTACAAAAGTTAAAACTCACACACAAACACACATGCACACATGCACACACATAATTGAACAAGGTGAATAAAATTTGCTATATTTCTTTTATTTTGAAAGAACCAGTAAATTTACTAGTACTGTAAAAATAACAGGTGATAAATTACCAGTTCTGTAAAATATGCAAGTGATAAATTGTTAGCAGTTAGGGTTGATAAATGATATTTTCCAATAATTAAAATAAAAATCATAGTTAAAGAAAAAGTACAGAGAGCGAATGTGTATTTACTGTCTGTCTGATGAACAAAAACAAATGTATAGGTTTATAAATGCAAAGTAAGATGAGCCATAGCAGTGGATGTGATCCTTTGAGATGCACTACCCACGCCGCAAATGGAATTCCTCATTCACTATGCCACAACCGATATTCAAAAAGTTAAGCTCCTCAATATGTATAACCAAAAAGCTCTTCTCCTACAATTATTGCAATATACTAATGTACTGTGTTAAGATCATATTTATCTGAAAAAAAAAACAGTAATAGGAAGGGGAAGGTGAGGAGGAGGAATTCATATTTTAAAGCCTGCCGTAACAGAGATCACACAATCCAAATAATAGATAACTTAAAGGTCACTTATATTTGGTTTCAAAGTGCATAATATACCTACTAATATTCATTTCAATCTATCCATTGTGTAGCCAAACAAAAGCAATGACAGACAAATTTACTGCTTGCCTATTTGGCCTAAAACAAGAACTGTGGTTCTTAATTCTTTATCTTAAAACACTTATTTCATCATGCCTTCAGTAGATCAGACGTGTTATATTTTTAATTTAATTCTTCTAACCATCCTATTCCTATCCGCATCTTATAGACGATGATGATGGAACGGAGTGGGTACATAACTTGCCTGGCTTTGTACGTTAACACTGTGCTTCACCAGTTCTTGTTGTGAATAAAGGCAGTGGGAAGGCGTCCAGGGTAGTCATTGTTTTCATATTCATAACTCCTGGTCAGAGCTTCTGTTCTCAAGCCTCAGTCTGATTCTCTGTATAGACAGGTTGCAAAGAGGGATTTCATAACATGGACTCTCTTTCCCTCCACGTTTATAACTAATTTTCATTTGGCAATTTGTGACTGGAGCTGTGATTGCTGAGAAAGTGATTCCTATAGACTGAGGACGAACTTGTGTGCTGTTTAATTTAAAACACTGGTTCTCAACCCTGGCTGCACAATTAGAATCACCTGGGGAGCTTTAAAAAAAAAAAAAAAAAAAACAGAAAAGAAATCCTTGCCCAGGCCCTATTCCCAGAGATTCTGGCTTAATGGGCTGGGGTGGGGCCCAGACACTGGTATCATTTCAAAATCTCCCCAGGTGATTCTAATGTGCAGCCAGGGTTGAGACCCACTAATTTTACAGCCTGGGTTCTGCAGCCATGATATTTCTGCACAACAAGGCAGGAGAGTGGATTTCTAACCGGTAGTACACTATGGACTGATCCTCTTTAGCAAGCGGATCTTACTTTTGTAAGCAATAAAATGGGAATACTAGTGTATTACATACCCACACTAAAGAACTAAATTAGAAGTTTCTTTTGTCCCTTCCAGATATGGGTTGACCTAAAGCTCAAGCACTTCTTTCGGGATCCTGGGGAATGGGAAGTGGGATATAAGTACAACAATAAAAGGGAAATATAATTAGCATCAATTTTAAAAAACAATAATAATAATCAATGTTCTCTATTTAGACCAGGGGAACAAATATATTAGATAAATATTGTTAGAAGCTAGTTTAAAATAGGTATTAAATTTTATTTCAAATTCACATTTATACAATTTAAGAATTTCAGAAACAATGAGGTATTGTTATAAGACGGATGGATTCATCTTCCAACATGTTCAGATAATGACACTGCCCATATTCAGGCTTCAAACTCTATCCAAGAAATTTCTGCCAATATTTAGAGATATGTTGCAAAACTTAATAATTTGACTTCTCAAATAAAAAGTTACCAAAAAACAAAAGCAGACCACTATTTTCTTTAATTTTTAAAGAAAAGTTTTCCAAATAGTAATGGCATTCAAAAGCATTTTAACGCCACTGATTCTTTTCAGGTTCTCATAGTAATACTTAATAGTAGCATTGTGAATGCCTTAAAGTAAAACCAGTAGGGCAGATATTTCATTAAAATCTTAGATTCCTTTTAAACTCCAGTGATACAACAGGGTGATATGACAATTATGTTATATAGAGGCTTATTACATTTTGATGTCAGGCGACATCACTCAGCCTATATTTGTATGTATGATATACCTGAGGTTTTCACAGAAAGCAAGACAAGTACAAGAGTGATGAGAAGCTCAAACACAATACTTGACCTAAATACATTATGTAGCACTGGGTTTCTGTTAAATAGGTCAGCCTGGGCGCTTAAAAGTTATGCAAAACTTATTTCTGCCACAAAGGAGATATGTCACTAGTCAAGCTGTATAAAAATCAGCTTTCTAGGCAGGAAGAAAATTTTCCTCATCACTGGGGGGAAAAATTCTTTCGCCATACATAAAATGTCTTAAATACTATACTACACTTGTCATATGTCTTTAGGCCACAGAAAGTAATAAAAGCAATGAGGCTGATGAAATGCCTAACAATTCTGGTATTCATTTAAGTGGATGGGGTTCTTTGAACACTACTATAGAAATTCTTATTCTTCCAGCAAAAGCAAACAGGATTTCAAAGGTGCACAGGTCTCAGCTGCCAAACCTAAGTGATGAATATTTTCAGAGGATGCAGACCTTACTGATTGCTTTTAACAGTGATGAAACACGAAAAGTTGCATCTCATCAGGGATAAGGTGGTCTTCCTCCTCTATGTTCACCCACTTTAAATAGACGTGTCTTGTTTTTGTTCAATGCGGTTTCACTAGCTGGCTTAAGTGTGCAAGCCATTATTTTTAAAACATCAAATAAATCCAAGACTTCCCAAACTCTTTTTATGCTCAAATCAATAATATTTGATGGTGCTAAGGCTTCTGCTTGACCACAGGCACTGAAACATAGACAATGATTCTGAAAACGTGATCCCAGTGATTGAAAACATCAACATTAACAGGAAACTTGATAAAACTGCAAATTACCCCATTCCAACTTAACATAAGAACTTTTAATTATCCTTTACAATTACTGATAAAAATTCAGGTAAATTAAAGAACATTCCCAAATCTCATATTAGCCAAATTCAGTCTCTTTCTTCACATAAACTTTTTATAAACAATGGGAAGGCACAATGTATACAAGCTATTTAATACTGACAACTTGAATTTGGTCAGTATTAAAAACTCTCAAGGGATGTCTCTGCTTCTGGAAATATGAATTAAAGCAATGGAGCTGTTCAGAAGAAACAAGGTGTGAGGAAAATAAAAGCAAACTGCACGGACTTCCCACTAATCACAGTTTAGCATTTAGGAATTTTAAAAAATTACATACAGTTTAATAGGGAAGTTAATTCATAGCAAGGTGCCATATGTAGGCTTTTAAAAAAAAATTCTTTAAAAATGAACCTTCATAGGTAGGCACTAGGGACTATAAAGTCCCCAAATCTCCATAGATTTGTTAGCATAATAATATATACTAAGTGTGGATATTTGGTCCTTGATCAGTAGCTCTTATATTCTAAAATAAAATAAGATGCTTCTGACTTCTCACTGAAGGACTGAGTTTTTACCTTTCACCTCATTACCCTCCACACACTCTAAGTAGGTTTAGTTTAATGTATTTGAGTTGCATTTCTGAGAGCACAAACTCTTATGATTTTGCATGATTGAAAGACATTCGTTAAAGAGACAGGAAATGAAGTGTATGCAAATTTGAAGCAAGCTAATAAAAAAATTCTTTAAAGAAAAAAAAAAACCTATCTGTTCCCAGTAACATGCTAAAAACAAAACTCAGAGCAAAACAGATCACAGCTGCTCAACTAAACTGTAATACACTCTGGGAAATGGCACCCGCCTTATCCCATACACCTGTTTGCCAACAATGAGGTGGCAGCAAAATCTGCATGAGGAAATTCAAAGGCAAAAAGTAAACACGCTTCCTCATTTTGCATGATCACACTAGACTCTCAAACAGGTTTTTACTACTACCTTCTTGCTGATAGACTGAACTTCACAGGCGGATAGTCACAGACTGCAGGTAGCTTCTGAGTCAAATTCAGTTCCTCTGGGACACGTGATTATTATCTTCTCTCTCTGACCTAGTGAATGTAGCAATGCCCTACACACATAGTATTTCTGCTCTAAAGGCATTTATGTGCCACCACCTTACCCGCTAATGCTCATAATAATGTTAGGCAAAGTGACAAAAATAAGTCTGCCCTTCATTTGCATATCGAAAACAAAATACATATAATGCTGCTGCTGCTTTTATTGCTTTGTTATTTCGTCATTATTCACCACAGTTCTTGCCTTCATTTGCAGAGTTTGGGTTTTAATGTAATGGCCATTCAATAAAAATGTTGCTTTTAAGGGTTTGCATATCATCCCATTTTCTCTTCAACCCTTCAGCAACCATATGGCAAGCAATCAGGTCTGCAATCACTAGGTCCATATTATGTAGAGCATGATTTCGGCATTATGCTATTACCCATCTGTTTCTGTAGAAAAAGACATGAACCCATGTATAAGAGGTCAGTGGTTTCATCGCACACCGTATTCCAGAAATCTATCTCTGTTCACTTGAGATCACTTCTGTGATTTACTCTAGTCTCCAGGCCAGACTTTCTCTCTCGCTCTCTCTCCTTTTTTTTTTTTTAAAGAAATACAGACAATCGGCACAATTTGTCTGTCTGACTGTTGTATAAAATTATTTGTAACTGTCAGAATAGGCACTTAAACTTCCTTACTTAAGGATATTTATCCCAAGCTTCTGCACTTAAAAAAATGTGGGCGGTGGAGAGACGAAAAATCAATCTCACCTGATTTTACATTTTTAACTGTCTATACAATAAAAATGACAGAATTTTCAGGCAGAGGCAGACACAGAGCAAGGGAGAAAGTTCAGGCTCCTGCCTCCAATTTTGAGGTTCCTAACAACAACCAAGACTAATCCTTCTATACTCAAGGAAAGATTTTATACATACACACAAACACAAACACAAACACAAGTATTCGAATATATATGTGTGTATGTATATATTTTTTCTGAATATATGCCTGACCTGTGGGTCACATACATGATTTTTGAATAGCATATCCAATTTGAGTGGTTAATTCCCCAGAATTCTTGATTATTTCATAAATAGCATTTATAATGAACGTCAGACACAATTATTTATGCCTATGAAAAGACAAAGTTTGGAATTTGGCATATTGTAGTAAGCCAATCACTTTGTTAGGTAAAACCTGCTAAAAAATACTTGCACATCTTCTGCACTGTATCAAGATACTATTGGATTGAAATTGATTTAGGAAGCAGGACAGGAACAAACCAAATGGGCATGAAGCCTGAGGCAGGGAATCTTTTGCAGAATCTATTGGGGCCAACAGGAGTGGCTCAGAACAGATGTGCTTTACTGCCCTATCCTGTGCTTCTCAAACCTGGCTGCATGTTGAAATCAGCTGGGGAGGTTTAAAAAATTCTGATACCTGGGTCCAAACCCCAGAGATTCTGCCTTAATTAATTAGGGGTGTGGCATGGACAATTGGATTTTTAAAACTCCCCTGATGTTTCTCAGCCTAGACTGAGTACCTCTGGTCAAATAAGACAGTTAAATAAAGATTATATTACTTAATTTCACCATTTAAAAAATGCAATGATAGGGTAGGGTGTAAATACTACAAATGTAATGAAAACTATTAAAATACTCAAGGTATAACAAAGCAAGAATTACAGGCTGACAGCCATCAAGTACAAAATAGATGTTATTTAACACCTGAAGTAATAATAGTGGTGAGGCTTCTATATGGATATGGCCTATAGTTTTATTTACAACTTCCAAGAAAACAATATAACAGAACATGCAAAAAGTTCTTTGTTAAAGAATTTTAGTAAAATACTGCCAAATTTAATTAAAATTCTGTAATTAAAAAGATCATTATAATGTAATAGAAAAATAAAGTCAAGTTACTCAACATTTACTATATACATACTAATAATCATTCACATAAAAATCATAAACGAAAAGGCTATATGTCTCTTTCATAGATCATTCACGCGATCATAAAGTCTTAAAGTCTTGATATGTGTTATATTTTAGAATCAATATTCTTAAGGGCAAATACTTTGGACTACAAAACTTAATTTCCCACAGATTTTAAAAAGATAAAGTTTCAATTTCATTAATGTTTAATACAATTGGCTACAAGTAAGAAAATCTAAAACTAAGGCTGATTCACAGAACTTAACCACAGAAGTGAGCAGGAAGATAACATGGATATAGTGCAAGTCAATTTGTATTGAGACTGTTAAGACTCTTTCTGAAAAATACTCTATAACCGATTAATTAAGTAATCAGTTGAACATGCTCACCATTTTTGAACTAAAGGGGCAGAAATTAATAAATGAGAAAATTCTAGTTTCTCCTCCTCCTCCAGTTTTCCATCATCCTCTCTTTCACGTCTTTCCCTTTTTTCCCTCCAAAGGCTTCATCCTCAGCCTTTCTCCCATCTCCACACATCGAAATCTATCGCAAACATTTTATTCGTCCAAAGAGTAAATGAAGGAAAATAGTTTTATTTAACGGTGTTGCTAAAACTACCTAAATTTAATCAAGACCCAAAGACTTAAATGGATAGAACTTTAATGGCAATGTATTGAGGTGGGTGGGACAGCATCTGGGTGCATTGAAGACATGCTAGTAGATAGCCTAACTCCATCTTCCCAAGGCCATGCCATGGCTATCCACAAGAACACATCTTTTTGCAGGAGAGCAAACTTTGTAGGACTACAGTCTTGGCGGATGTGTCCTTTTCTACACTGAAAATAGCAGACTCAACTGTCTCACTTCTGAGGGTTAGACATCAGCACAGTAGAGAAGCTGATACAAAGAAACTGATTCTACTGAAGCATTGTACACAATGACATAAGATCTGAATTTGTTCCATTTCATAGTCGCTCCTCTCTTTCCTTTAGGTGTAGTTTTCAATATTATAATTCTTTTTTAATTTACCTTTCCTCAGAAGTAACCCTGTGTTAGATATACCCAAAATACTCACACTAGCTGAATTAGTTTTATTAAAAATAAATGAGTAACTCGTTATTGGTACATGAAAGTTCATCCTTTTCAACAATACTCAGAATGAAACAAAATGTGTTGATTGATTATATGTTGATTTAAAAAAATTTCTTCCAAAAGTGAATTAAACTGGGCTATAATATGAATCATATGTATAATACAACTAAAATATTTTAAGTATTCAAAGAAAGAAAAGGAAAATATTCCAGTTGTGAAGATTAAAATAGTTTTCATGATTGCCATAAAATTTGGCCCTGTGCTTTCTGGAAGTCAGGGAGAAAAACACAGTAATTCGTAAAAGCATTATTATCATTAAGAAGGAAGCACAGCAGTTCTTCAAATTAGACAAAGATTTTCCTGTCACTAAATTTTGGAAGGCTGTCTCATAAGGGATATTATACAGGTGGCCTTCACTAAGGTAATGGACATTGTCCTCAACCTTCTTATTGCAAAATAAAACACAGATACTAGATCTCTTTGCATGAGTTTTGTGTATCTTCTTCTTCGATGGCTTCTGTTTCTTATTCATATTTTCTCTTCACAAGTATTTCCAACAATGCTATTATTATTATTCTCTTTAAAATATTTTATTATATATACCTTATAAGCCATCTTGAGCCTTTTTGGTAACAATGCAGGATATAGAAAATAAATAAACAAATTTTTATAAAGAGTTAGTAATGCAGTGTTGCTTCATCAGTCTGAGATCCAATGCTTAGCTGAGAATCTTGCCACTCTAGGTGAGATTCCTAGTAATTTGTGAACCTCCATGGTCTGAGTCTCATCCTAGCAACATAATCGTCAGTAGTTTAAGTGTTAGACTCTAAGGTATTTCTTTTCTAACCTTAACGTGCATGTGAATCACCTGTTGAAGATGCTGAGTAGGTCTGGGGTTAGGTCTGAGATTCTGCATTTGCAAGAAGCTTCCAGGTGATGCTAATGCTGCTTTAGTCATCAGCCTAAACTCTGAATAGCAAGGGTAGATAGCCAATGACTGAGACTGCACTCACTAATCAGGGTACAAGTACTCTACTTGCTAACTAGAAGTCCATAATCATGGACAACCAAGTAAGCAGGTAGTAGGGTTTCATTTTATTGAGAAAATTGTGAAATCTAACCATATAGTCTCTGCCTGCAAGTGGACCATTTGTCTGTGAGTTCCCTTGGCTATGTATGAAAAAGATTCTTTGTCTCAAATCATTTCACATATTGGTGTTAATTATTTGCTTGTTTTGTTTCTGGTCAAGTGAGATAGTAAGCACCCTGATAGAAAGCACCATGTTTATACATCTTTGCTCTCCTCTCTTTCTCCCAGCCAGTAGTGGTCACAGGTGTTACACAAGTATGTATGGTTGTAAATGAATAATCAGTCAACGACCAAAATACAATCATATGGCCCTGGCTCTACCCTTAGTGAATCACAAGCAGTAATCATTTTTGGAAACTATTAAAATCAAAAGTATCAAAAAAATTTGAGATAGAGATTAAGTAAAATTGGGAGCATACAGTTGACAAAAGCATATCATAATTGAGTTTCACCATCTATGAATCTTGCTAGATTTCAGAAAGCCTGCCATCTATTCATGAATTTATTAAACATTTATTGAGAGCCTTGCAACTTAAGCCTGTTGAAGTTGACAAAAATAAAATTGACAAATAATTAAATTCCAAAAAGAATAAGAATAAACTAAATGCATTGTGTTAGTCTGGGTATTTTGGAAAGCAGATGCCAAGATAGGATTACAGAAGAGGCTGGGATAATCCTCAGACCACGGTGCAGCTTGAATATGAAGGAAGGAGGGTTGAGTAGAAGCTTCCCAGACTGCTCAGCAAGCACAGAGGAGTCCTTGGCCAGAAGAGAGCCAAGGGTCCCGGCAACAGGACTGACTCAGCGCGTAGCAAAGCTCAGTGATTGGCTGAGGCTTGTGGGAGGCATGACCTTGGCACAAACTCTGAAGTAGATTTCAGAGCACAGCAGCTGGGGTCCTTGGTAAGTGACACTCCCTGTAGTTGGAGATGCACAAGTACATCCTTATGACTGTCAAAGGCACTTTATCAATGTTAGTACACATATGAGGCTACTACAGACCACTGACACATTTAGATGTATGAGTAGATGTCAAAAATGTTCTAATTTGACAGCTCCATAAAAAACATTGTGAAAGTGTGCTCATTATCATCAACAAACACGTCTGAAACAGTAAATATACTTGATAAAACCACACACACCTCAATATAAGGAAAATATATTAACATGCAATGCATTAACAGATTGTACTGTTCAGTCAAATTATATCATTTGAGATTCATGAGCCTGTTTTTAGATTCTATATGAATCTAGGGGGGAAACAAACATACCTTAAACCAAGTTATATACTTACATTCATCTTTTTGTTTTACGTGATGTATTCTTTATACTATTCTGTCCATTATAGTCCTTGTGTTTACCTTATAGAAGTGGTATTTCCTTGTATCTGCACATGCTTATAATTATCCCATATAATTTTTGAATGAGTTTCAAATAAATTCAAAGCTGAGTTTAAAATGCATTTTATTTTTATTTTTTTTAGAACAAGTAACATAATTATATATTATTGCCTTTATCCATATCTACCATCCTCACCAATTAAGACGAATTTTAAAATATTATACATTAATACTTAATATCTTTAGCATAAATGTGTATTGCATTGATTATAAAGCCTATTTGTTAGCTGATATCTGGTTAAAATTGATGATTTTTCTATTCTAAAACTCTTGTGTAGGAGTCAATATTCTATTTTTTAGCAAAAATAAATTATAATTCTACACTACCTGATCACTGTTTCCCAGTTCAGAATTAAATGCACTAGGGGACAGTTTAACTTTCATTTGTTATATCAATCAAATTTTATAATCCATTTCATTTGGTTGCCTGAATGCCATTCTGTGGCCAGCCATGAATTAGCTTCCCCTGAGTATAAATATGATTGCCCAGTTTGATGTTCAAAGTGTCTGGATGAGCACATTTTCGGGTCCCTTGGATTGTCCATTCTCATGCCCAAGGAGGTACACGGCAGGTTAGGAGGGCACTGTCATAGTTAAACTGTTTGATCCCTGCTGCTGCTTCCCCAAGATAGAGAAATAAAAGATGCCTGTGGCTCCCCTATTATTCCATTTTTTCTTATTTTAAACGTGATGGCTCAACCTTTCACACAAGCAGCAGGGAACTTTGAACTTTTCAGAATTCATTTAAAAATATTCAGCTCAGTATTTGTTAATGATATAAAATTACATCACCACAGAATTTACCATGAACCTGGGAAATATGTAAAAATTTACAAGACTAAAAGAATGTTTTCCTTTCAAATCTGAGAATACAGTTTCAAGGAAAAAATCTCTCAAATAAGATTTCAAGATATTACAGTAGGAACTGGAGAAAGCTTATGTCAAAACCCAATTCTTATGGGAGGAGGTCAAACTCCAGAGTAAAGGAAAAATCTGACACATTTTTCTGTGATTAGGTCATATGAGAATGCTTGAGGTGAGAGAGGAAAGCTACATGGAGTGTTACATCTTTGCTATTAATGAATTTTTGCCCCATTTATATATACAGTACATATATTTCATAATAATCACATGGGAGTGAGGCGTTTTCCAACATCCCACATTCATCATAATTAAACATTTCAGAAGGTGGACTGAGGAGCCAAAGAATGTAAGCAACAAGATCATAAAGACTTCTTATTACAACGCACCAAGTGCAAACAGGGCTCCTGAAATAATGAAAGGAAACGAAAGAAGATAAGGCTTAGGGTAACAACCCTAAAGTGGATTATTGTTTCTTGGAAGAGAGGTTCACATCTAATTAGCATAGCTACATTTTATAACTCATATTGTATAAGACATAACATATAAAACACAACAAAATGAATAAACAAAAAAGTTAAGCTGAAGAGATTCTCAACTACTAATCCATATGATTATAATCTAGTTTGTTACATTAAATTTTATTGTCCCATACGTAAAATTACAGCCTCAGAATTGTGCACCCCAAAAAGATGCTATAATTATTTAAAGGATCTTAAAATTCTAAACACAGGTGGTAATTCCATGAATATGCTCTTAAACTTTTGAAAATAACTAACTCCCAAGGGTTTTTTTTTAATGGACAAAGAATAATTAAAGAATAATAATAAATTTCACCAGCAGTTATTATCCGTCTTCAAAAAGAAATCCTTCCTAGACTTTGACTACCTAGATCTGAAGAGATGCAAATATTAGGCGTGTTATCATTCCACTCTCCTGCCACCAAGCCATACATTGATAATCAATAAGGAGACTCTTGCAGCTAACCTCAGGCTTAGCTAGAAACATCGATATTAGCGCCAGAAGCAGCCACTGCCAATCGATAAGATTTGGCAGGTGATTTGAAACATATTTTCCATTGCTGACTTAAAGCATGTATTCTTTGGAACACTCAATTTGGCATTTGCTCATATATGTTCGGTATTATTCTGCAGGGGTGTGTGTGTGTGTGTGTGTGTGTGTGTGTATGTGTGTATGAGAGGAATAGAGACAGAGAAAGTTTCATGTGTCTAATTTCATTATAAATTCTACCAGGGCAGAGACCATGATTCCACTTCTTCTATATCCCCCTAAGTGCCCAGCACTGTGCCTGGCTCATATTTGTTAATCAATAAATATTTGTTGACTTAAACAAATAGGTCTAACCATAAGTTTCTTGCCATATTTGTCCCTACTCGCTTGTTTGATTAAAGCAACATATTATGACCTGACTGATATAAAAATGAAAACCTATGACACCAAAGGTAACTGGAGGGGTCTCTTGAGTATAGAAACACTGGTCCACAATCTCCCATCTGCAACTGTGAAAACAAAAAGCTATGAAAGGCTTTTCATAACTCATGTGGCAGCAAAACCAGACCTGAACTAATTTCAAGAAGATTATTTAGAATCTTTATTTATCCCACTCAATGTGAATATTCATACACTGCGATGCAGAAACATGAATGTGTTTGATTATAGGGTGCTGCCCCAGACCCAGCTGGAGATATTGCATAATCTGCGGTATATGCACCATAGTACCTTTCTAAAAGAAAATTTCTAAACACGTCTCCGTCTCAGGGATTTTGGGTAGTGAATTGTAGACTACATGTGTGTGCTTCCTGCAACCCAGTCCCTGACCTATTGCACAAATGAGCTACATCACTTAGTCTGATTCAATAATTTCTAAAGAAGAGACATTTGAACTTAAAGTATAATACAAAAAAGAAGAGACTTTTGAAAGAGACAATGCTAAACAAATCAACTTATATGCCATATCAGATCATTTCATTTTACATTTCATATCAACATCTCATATTGTTGAGATGTTGAATATGGGTTGTGGATCGCTTTTGGGATTATGTTTCCCATTTGGGAACACGTTTTCCATTCTTTCTACTAAAAGGCATTTCAGTCTATGAATGGCTACTATGTAGAGGAATTTCATAGTTTCTCTACTGGATTTTCAGAATAAATCACATGTTAAATGCTGATTAAATCATATCAGGATTTCAATTGACCCCTAATGTTTCTAAACATATATAGCAATGCACTGTACCACAATAGCGTCCCTCGTTAGTGTTCCCTTGATGACCTAACTTCATTTTAATATATAATATGAAAAAATACATTCTCTTGAATTATTTTTAATATTATAATGTTAAAGGAAACTTATTTGATCACTATAAAAATGCGAGAAGAAAAAGAATCAAAAATATAATTTTCAGTTTTTAAGAATCAGAAATTGTATACAAATAACATACAAAGGCATTTAACAGGGTCTTTTTAAGCTCGCAGCATTATTCACTCAGCCCTTGTCAAGTGCTTTCCTTTTTGCATGAGTTTGCCACCTCCCAGCAATGCAGTTTACTGTTGCATGTGATGGGGAAGAGACCTGTTTGTACTGTCACAATGGCCAATAAACCTGAGCTGGAGACTCTTCATTTTAAACCTAAAATAAATAACTAGATTTCATTTAAACCTCCCTGTGTGAACCACCACAATCTTCCTAGTCTTCACTAGCGGCTTTTAATGCCCAACTACTTAGGAATCACAAGAGTGTCGGAGTGTTTAGTGACTCTGATCCTCCCATCAGTAAACTGATCTGGTGATAAAATGGAAAGGGCCTTGTACTATTTGCATTTTTACTCAGTTTAGTCACAGATCACAAAATAAATTAGTAAATTGAGCAACAAGGCTTCCCATTTGCAAAACCCCAACGTTCAAAGTAATCATCTATGCTTAAATTCACAAATCCTTAAAAATGTAATAATTTCCCTGTCAACTAACAAAAATAACAGTGCTACAGCATTCATTTAGAACTCCCTGTATGCTAAAGGCCATGGCTGTGTTTGAATTTGGAATTTTAATATTTAATAAATGAATGGATTTTATAGGTAAATTTTCCTGACACCTTCGCCTCCTTCAAATATTTAGGACACATGATAAAGATGGGGGAGAAATTGAGGGGAGGTATCCGATAATTCAGCAGATTGACTAGTGCTCAAGTACACTCAAAGTTCAATAGACACTGGAATAATGTCACATTTAAGGTCTCTCAAGGCATGAGAGAGTTTAGCTTAGCTACTTGAGCCAACGTGATAGCCCAAGCAGGCTTGCCCCCTCATCACTGTCACTCAAGACAAAAACTGCAATGCTTAGAGATGGCAAGCTCATACCAAATGCTACAAAAATTTTCAAACTCAAAATATTATTGCTCTGTAATAGAGGCTGGAGTGACTCACAAAGACACTAACATTCTCAGTTTAGAGTAGAAAACTTGATCAAGGACTTCGGAGGAAAGCCTATCTTATTGGGAATATGCAATAGTTTTTCTGTCTGCACAGTGCTCCAGGCGAGGTCTCATCTCACAGTGGCCTTAAGGAGAAATAAAGGAGATGAGTCACCACCACTGGGATTTTAACTGGCACCCTGGGAAACAGGTTTGCAAATGCTGAAACCAAAGCTCCAGAACTTCATTTCTTTCTTAAAAAAAAAAAAAAAAAAAAGACTGGCGGGTTGGGGTGGGGGTGGTGGGGCTCTCGAGTGGAATCAAATCCAGGCTGTTGTGGTAAGAAAGCCCATGACAAACCTTTGGCCCACCTAAGATGAGTTAATTATAATATACAGTAGTAAAAAGTACAAAAGCCCTGGGTTTGCCCCAGGCTATGCAATATCTTTATCAACATCACTGCAGCATGAAATGCACAACTTTGAGTCTGTAATAATGGTATCAGGTAGCCAATTAAATGTAATGGGAAGAGGAAGCTAAACAAAACATAGAGGGCAGGGAGGAGAAAAGCTAATACCCAAACTACTTCAAAATATCCAAGTTATTCTGTTTCAACCAAATCACTGAACACTAGAAGCAGGTCAACACTGAACTTCATCTACTGAAATTCAAACATCAGACCAAACTATTTTTATTGTACTTAATTTCTACCAATAGTTGTGAAACAGCAAACATGCTATAGGGAACATGGTACATGATCTAATAAATATAATACAGTGGCTGCAATAAGCACAAGTGAGACTAACTAGCTCATGGTTTTACTGGTAACTAGTTTGTTTTTAATAACCACAAGTTTAAAATATAACTTAGTGTTGATTTTTTTAAAGCTCTCAAAGGTAAATATAAGTAAATAAACAAATAAATGAACAGATAATAAATCATAGCAACAATATAACTCTAGGAGAGAAAAACTTGTCTAGTGAGATATTTTATGTGTCATAAAAACAAAGATGAAAAGTACTATTACTTGAGGTTGAAACACATTGTTTCTGAAAATATAATGTGACTCCACGTGACCTCTACTACCGTGTGCAAACAAGAAAAAACAAAGCAAAAACAAAAAATTCCTATCTGATTCATCATAACACATTCCTTCCTGATGCTAATCTCATCTCTTCACTGTGCTACTCCGCAATAATAGTGGTCATCTAAGTCCTGTTAATCCTTTTAGCAAGCACTAATAATTATGCATTAGTACAAATAACATTGAAGCCTTTTTTCAAATAATTACATATATAATGAATGTATCTTTTAAAAGTTGTTTACAGCTAATTAACCAATGAATAATTGTTTTCTCTTCCTGAACAGGGAAAGCTTATCTTAGAGTCACAGTTAAAAATGCTTTTTTTCCAGTTTTACAGATGTTGTTAGCAATTAAAACTGTTAAAACACTATTAAAAAGAACTCCTTGTATTAAAGGGCTTACTCATCCCAGTTGTTGTGGTTTCTCAACTACTGCATCTTTTAAAATCATTTCCAGTTTGAAAGGGCACTGGTGGCTCCAAACCCAACAGACCTCTTTGTAAATAGTTCAGATCCTTCAGTATCACAACACAGTTTGCTTGTTGCTATATGACTAGTTTAATTGTGGGCTGTAATAAAGGTCATAATTAATATCCCAACACAGACACTAACAAACAATTTTAAATTGCCAGCATAATCAAATGATGCAAACATCTATGAGCTACAAAAGTTCATTGCCGCAACTGACAATTTCTTAATTGTATTCAGTCATTCATGGAAATTTTATTAACATCGAACTGATGTATCCTGCCCTTACTCTGTCACAACACCAGGGATCTAATTTCATTATTTTCCACAAGATTTGCTTGACTACTGCCATGATTCTAATATTGCTTTAGTCCAGATGTTTATGCTATTTAAATTAGGAAGAAAAGCCTTTTGGGTAAACACAATTAAAGAAGTTTTTTTTCAAATTTAGTTTAACAAACTTCTTTTAATTAATGCATATAGCTGCAATGTTGAGGCTTTTTCACTGATTTTATGTTCATTTCCTACTGTGTGCAACATATATTGAGTGTACAGCTACAGCTAAATATAACCAACCACCTTTTAATTTTTCACTTACTTCTGAGTGCTCATTAAGGTGAAAAATAGAAGCACATGACTGCACTTTTAACTTTAATCAATCTCAGGTGTGTGTGTGTGTGAATGTGCATATGTGTGTGTCTGTATGCACAAGTTGCATCCATGGAGACATACAGGTCACAAATACACAGAAATACCTATATATAAAACTCTAGATAAATCTATCTGATATTTGGTCACCTTAAAAATTCCCCTTTTTATTCATTTTTTTTTTTGCAAAATAATCCCATAGTAATAAGTGTATTTAGCAACTCCCAGTAGTCTAAAATCGAATGATGTTTTCAATGCATTGAGAAGTCTTAGGAAAAAAACAGTAACAAAAAACAAAAAACTCTGTTAATGGATTACTGATGCAATTTGTTTTCATGAGAGGAGCTTCTGCCATCTCATAGGAGCTTAGTTCTAATAAATAAATAAGATCTTTGTTCTCTTAGGTAATCATTTTCATTCATTGGCTTCCTTATTTAAGTGATTATAATAGCTCAGAAATACTGGCAGGCTGTTTAATAGTGGAAAGCTAATACATTTACATCACTTTTGAAAAAAGTGTTACGGTCAAAATGCCTATGTGTAGCAAATGGATATTGTACTACTCTTAGAATAACATTATTTATAAACAATATTAAATTATTAAATCGACATCCAAGGAATGTCATCTCCTATTTAATGGTGTATGCAGATGCTACAGAATGTTTCATGAAAGTATCGGCACCTTCAATGTTTATTAAACCAATGAACTAACCAAATTTGGGCAATCTGAATAAACCATAGTGTTTCCATGTAAAACAGAACCTCAGAGATACTTCAAAATCATCTGTAAGAATGTCAGTGACAAGAATTTTAAGCTTACCTTGTTTTAATATCTTATTTCAATTCTGATATCAGCACAATCAATTACACAACTTCAACTAACTGATGAAACTCCCCCAAGTATATCTGAGAAAAACCAATAAAATTTCCTCTAAGATCTAGGCTTGAAATGTCTCAATATTTCACAAGCACAGGGATATTTACAAACAATGGCAACATCTGCTATCACTCTAAAATCATGCCTGCTTCCATTTATCTGGAAGAGGTTAGAATTTTCTCAATCCATAAAATCTTTTCCTCAACAGGAGTTTGGATGGCGCATAATATCACTTTAGTGATGGGTTTCTCTTACTACTATTATTTCCCTGTGACTACATTGATTAGGAATGGCTATTTCTTGGACATCTTATATTACCTAAAAAATCCGCCTGCTAAGAAACTCCCATTGAGTAAAACACTTCCCTTCATTTTAAAAACTACATAACAAAATGAATTATAGCCTTCTCCCTTCCACTATAGAATTCAGGTGACAATGCAAGTTTAATGAGACTTGGTTAGAGTTTTTCCTGGGGTTATTTACTTATTACACTATTACTAATATCCAGAAGGGAAGCATCTGGCTATTCCCATCCTTACAAAATAATTATTTAAAACAAGAAAAGAAAAACTTTGTGTCCTAAATTTAAAAGACTTCTATAAAAACATAATCTGAAGTTTTTGCATCATATATGTGTTAGTGTGTATGTGTGTGTGAGAGAGAGCAAGAGACACAGAGAGAAAAAAAGATAAAGGAAAAGGAAGGGAGAAAGATTGAGAGAGAAAAATAGTTCATGACAGGCATAATTCATCTGGATTACTGAAAAAATTTGCCCGGGGTGGGTTCTATACCTTTAAATGTTAGTTTATTTCCCTGATGAGCTCTCTATTTTAGAGAGCTACATTTGGCAAAGTTTCCAAGTATACCGTGTCAATTTTATAAAAACTAAAAATATTGTTGAAAAAATATTATCCCAAGAACATACGTAAAATTATAAATATTCAGCACATCAAGCTTTTGATATACTTTAGTGCACATGAACTGAGTAGCTGTCAAAATTACAACAGGCAACTCAAGTAATTATGCAGATTTATGCAAAACATTAACAAGAAGAATTAAATGCACAAATGAGGTGGCTACACTTGAATTGTTAAGATTATGAATAATTACCATGAATCTTTTTGCTCTTAATATAACTTGTTTTTGATAAACAAAGCCTTAATTATCAGAATACTTTTGAGAATTTTGGTGACCTTCATTAATCTTACAAAACAAGTCTCTTGTGTTCTGCATTGTAAAAGGCACATGCTCAGAATAAGTACACGAAACCTTGGGAAAAGCATATGTTAATGGCTGCTACAAACTGGTGAAGGATACCTCTGGTTTCAGGTACACAGCATTCTGTACACGTAGCCAAAATAAGACTCAGAACTAGAAGGTACTTTCATTTGGAAAAATAAAAATAAAAAATAAATAAAATCCTGCTACAAAACTGTGGAGGGAGGCAGGAAGAAGAAGAGAAACTCTGAAAAATTGTTTCAATTTTGTAAAATATTGGGTTAATTTTAAAACAGAAGGAAAATAGCAACCTATTAATTCTTCCTCTCTAAGATGCAATGAGTTCAATAAATCATTTCTAAAATAACAAAGTACTGAAAACATTCAGTCATAACTCTTTTTCATGTATCTTTCAGCCACCAATTTTCCTTAGGCAGATGCCTCTCCCAAAGACTATGGAAATTGTACCCACCACCTTGATTGGTAGACACAATTTTCTGAATGTGATTCTCATATTCACTCATCTCCACCAATAATTTTTACCCTGCCCTCCTTCTCTCAGATAAGCAGTGGGACCTCTTCATGTCCCCTCAGTTAATTTCAGAATTAATTTGCAACGCTGTCATCAACACTGTAACAATTCACTGATCAACAGTTGCAATTCTTCATAACACTGTCAAACTCCCAGCTGCCATGGTGGCAAGCTGCATTGCCCCGACTCCAGACATACTGCTTTGGGACTGGTGGAAGAAAAGGACTTTGGAAGCATCTAGGCTTTAAAGCTATCCACAATATCTCTTCCCTGGAGAGCAAGCTGTCAGATCAATGATGTTTTTGTCATTAAAAAAAAAAAAAAATTAAAAATTAAAAAAACAAAAAACACCGCGTGAGAGATCTGAATATGTTTGGGTAAATATCAAATACTTTGATGCATAAAAATTAACTTAAAGAGGTCACACTCCGACAGGGTACATGCTTGCACTTTAAGAATGGTTGTATTTTTATATATTATTACATGACAAAATAGGCCAGGCCAGGAAGGTCTAAATATCCCAGGGACAGTACAGATTGTGCAATGACTCAGAGGAACAGACAGTAAATACTGCTAAATTATGCCCAGACAAGTTAATAATTCTCAAGCATATTTCTGAAGACCATCCTGGCTAAAACACATTACCAGCACATTGCCAAGTCCCTGCCTGCTGTCCCAGAAACTTTTAAGATTTAAAGAGAGTAACTTATTTAAAATGATTTTTCCCCTAGGATTGCGTCCAAGTCAACAGAAAAGTAGCCGCCTGGGACAATCTGCTCCCATGTCTGTCCCTCATCTCATCACATGTGTGACTGTGCTATTGGAGTCATATTGGTGGCCCGATATTGCAGAAACACAGAGGGGTTGACCAAAAAAAGAAGAGAAAAGAAAATCCTTTTCAAATTGAGAACAAAGAAACTTTTACTTCAAAAATTGAGAGAAATGTATCTAAGCACTTGGCCTAGATCAATAAAGTAATAACGAGATCATTTCCTCATTCACAAAAACAAAAAATGAAAAGCTGGACTTGATAGCTACAGCAAGAAAAATTTTTCTTTCTACTCACTAGTAATTCATTAACCATCTTTCTTATCAGTTCTCACTACTTGTGGCAGAGGGTATTCAGTGGTGTCCTTTCCCCTCCCTGCTTCCCAAACCCATCACATACACACAGACATACATGCACCTTCTTTAATTATTCTGGTTAGGTGTTCACCAGTCTTAATGAGGTGAAAATACAGGTACAATTCAATGTATATGACCACAATTTCTATCCATTATCTATGACAGCCAACGAATGCATCTTCCCCAAATGATGCTCAATGAAATAGAATCAATATGGGAAGTATACCTAGACTGCTAGTTAAGAAATCTACACACATGCTCAAATGGCAATTCCTTTGGTGCTCTAGATCAAAATTTCGTCTTAGTTTTCTTTTTCCATCTGTGATATAAAAATATACAACCTACTACCCAGTGAAATGCCATGGATGGCACTTTTTTGTTTTCAAAATTATAACTTAATATCTAAAGATAGACATCTCTTCAAATTTATGGTATGTAAATCAGACTGCATGGGGGCAAATGGTTAAATGTAGCACCTTAAAATTTCAACTTTTTAAGAGAAACACAAAAAGGCATAGAAAGACCTACTATCAGACGACCACAGCTGTTGAGGAAGGGGACTAGGAAATTGTTAGATACCCTCTATGATCACAGTAACTCACAAGCAACCCCAACCCTCTTCTTAGGTGAGGGTTTTTATCCTTCTCTTTTGTTAGGGACCCTGCTTGGAAGTATCCTGAACAAAGATTCATCCCAAAGAGTGCAGACGGACTTTCTGCTTTCAAAATGTATATGAAATTTCAATTGGACACTGTTAAAAGATGAATGCAGACTAGATGTCCAAGATAAGTCACTAGAAATAATATTCAATTACGTGTCTGAACTTGAAGGAGGCTTCCAAGAATAAGTCACTCCTCCATCCAACATTTATTCAAAATTACATATTAAGTGTGTGCTTGACAACTGACATAGCAGTCTCAGAAACTCACATATACAAGGCATGTTGGTTGTTGCTATTTGATGGTAATCCTGGACCTCCTGCACTTTATCTTGGTCTACCAGGGACAGATTTGGCAAGAGGAATATAGGGTCAGTTGGCCTTGACCTCACATTCACAAAGGACCTCAAATTTCAGCCAACATCATACATGCAGTCATAGAGAAACATTGGCAGGATTGAAAGATGATATTCATTATGCCACTTTAAAAATTTCTCCCATTAGTGGGCAATGGTAAAGATAGTGTTCATATTCTTTTCTTCTTCTGGAAACTCAGAAAATTCACTTCTCAACTCTGTTGCAGTTACAAACAAGGCTTTTTGACTTGATCTAAATGATGAAAAGTGAGCTAACATATCTTCTGGACTCTCCGGTAGCCTTCCACTCTTGCATAGTAGACAGAGGCTGCGTGTTCCTGGCAGGGACAAAAAGGTGGAAAAATGAAGCCTTAATTAGCCTAGATTGCTGAATCACTGGTAACCCCTGGAGAATCATCTAGATCTGCAGTGGACTTTTCATGAAGAAAAATAATAAATTTTGTTTGTATAAAACCACTGACATTGGGGTTTGTTTGTTGCTGCAGCATACTTTACCCTATCCTTATACATTGACCTTAATATTTAGTGTTCTAAACAAATGCTAAGATTCTATTTTGCACAATGATACAGTATTACGGGATTGTTAAGGGGGTTGGGTGTGTATGTGTTGAGGATAAAAGAAGTGACTGTAAAACGTTAATGTTTACTTGTAAACATTTAAAATGTACATTTCAGATGTAACATTGGAAACATGACAATTTAGGGGTCCTGTTTTAGGGTGCTTCCTTTTTTTTTTCTTGATAATTTTTCTCAACATACATGAAAGTCCTGGTCCTTCCTCTACCCTTGAGAAGCCCTGCTTTTGACTGAATGACTTGAAAGCATAAAAAAAGATGCGCGCGCGCGCACACACACACACACACACACGTCACTAGTCTGAATGTCAGAGATAGTAGTACCTTGCATCAACTCTGAATAAAGGTTGTTGATCTCTTTGGCCTCAGATCCTTAACTGGTGTAATGGAGACAAGTGCTGTCTCTGTCCCATGATAGCCATGTGTTCAAAGATTCAAAGAAGATTTAGAAAACAATATTCCTGAGTAGGTTCCAACTCTTTAGATCCAGAATTAAAGACAATGGTTGTCAATTTCACAAACAACACTATAAAAATATGTCATAATTCACTAAGCCAGCATTCAGCACTTAAGCCAGAGTAGAGACCCAGCACAGGTTTCAGTGGACAGTCTTTGAACCTAGAAATAAACTGGGTAAACCTCAGGTTAGGAAAATGTGTCAGGGAGGATTTGTTGCCCACCCAATATTCATTCTCCCCTTCTGTTGTCGTAATAACCTTGCATTTGTTTAAAGAGGCAATGTGCTCAGCTAAAAGCTTTTATTTCCCAGGCTACTCTGCATCTAGATGTGATTATGTGACTTTGTTTTGGCCAATGAGAAGTTAACAAAGAAGGCCTTTTAATGATTTGACAGACACTTGGAGACTGTCCTGCTTCCCCCTTTCTTTCTTCCTGCCTGTATACAACAGCTGGAGATTCAGTCGCCACCTTTCTACCGACTGGTATTAAAGATGGTAGAACATACACATAAAAGGAACTCAGGCTCCAGATGAGCCTAGGAAGTGCCTGCCTACCCTGCACTACCCTCTTAAAGCTTTCCTTCACACGAGAGAAAACCTTCTAAATTTTTAAGCCACCGACTTTCCCATCTCTATCAGCAGCACACAAGTCCTCGCCAACAGAGCAGTGATCACAGGCAGGCCCAGGGGACAGGGCTGTGAGAGCCGGGAGCTGAGATGACTGCCTGAAGCTGTCAAGTACCCACAGGCCTCTCCCAGAAGAGTTTCTGACCAAATCTCTGTTCTGAGCATGGGTTTGAAACATCAGGGAACAATACTACGTAAGAGCTTGGTCTTTGGAGTACAACCCAACCACACCCAAGTTGAATCTCAGCTCTGCCACATACTATCTATGGTCTTTGGAAAGTTACGGAGCAACTCTGAGCTGCAGCATAGAAAATTTGTCACTTATGAAATGAGAATAATAATAGCTCTTCCTTTATCCTTTTGCTCTCAGAATTAAATGAAATAATATGAGAAATTGGATGAACGTATAGCCTGGCACATAGTAAACCACAAAGGATTCCCAACTAACTCCATCCTCAAGATAGAACTCCAGTTGTTCAATTGGCCTTACAGGTTTTCTTTCAATTCTTTCAAAAGTGTAATGGTGTGACACTCTTCAAGATGTGCTCTATCTTATAACCCAATGCAAAGCCCAACAGAGCAGACTATGCATGTTCTAGAAGCACGTGAATGTTCATCTGGGCTCCCTGTCCACCTGGACCACGAAGCAGGGCACAGCCCCAGGTTAGGCCTTCACATTAGCGTTAATGGTAGGGTACAGTGACTGAGAGGGAGCTATGTTTATCTTAGTAAAACAAGAGTGTCACTTTATCCTTGAGAATTCAGGCTCTCAAAGTCACAGCATGGATTACTTGAGAATTCAATATAGTGGTTATTTTTATCTCCATCATTATAAAATAGAAATATATTTAAAGAAATGTAAACATTATATGTTATATATGTTATAATAATATAGAAAAATAAATATAACTATGAACATTTCTATGTTTCTATATGTTCTACAAGATTTAGTTATTTTTAAAGTAGATAAAATGCAACTTTTTTGTAAGTTTGAAGTTTCATCAAAATGAAAAATTACAAGGAGAAAAAAAGCAAGTAAAAGGCTCAGCCTTCCTTATCTTCTACACATCATTCAAGAACCACTTCAAATCTTGCTTCTGTGATCAAGTTGTCAGACACAAAACTTTCTCTGTACTTCCCGACTCCAACCTGGCTTGGGGTCGGTGTGCAATAAATACATTTTGAAAGAATGAACATGTAAATACAATGGCAATCTAACTAGTCTTCCTGTTTTCCACCTATCCTTCACACCACCCCTGGGATGAACATATTGGCCCCCTGTTTATCAGGACATCCCCTTTGTCCATTGCAATGGGCTTCATTTTTCAAAAAAGCTTTAAACAATTATTTCAAGAAAACCTGACTAAAAAGTCCAGTAGATAAAACAAACAAAGGAGAAGCTGTCCTGGTGAAAACGGGGGTGAGAAGCCCAGAGCCCTGCAGATCAGCTTTCTTATCTTCACAGCTCCCATCCCATTGCTCGTAAGGGATTTCAGAGAGCACAATTAGAAAACTACTGGCTTAAATACTAAATTTCAAATTACTGCTTTGTATCACTCACCTCCAGCCCTTGCCCCTAATATACAAAGCAAACACTCAACCATGTCAAATGGCCCAGTTTCTTTTGCTTTCCCCTTTGCACGCTTTGTCCCCTTCTCTGAAGAAATCTGCTTTTCATCTTGCCGCCTGGTAAAAACCAATCCATGATTAAAATTCCTGCTCCTCTTCTGTGGAGTTGAGGGGTATGAGCCTCATTGGTTTCCTTTTCCTTGGGTTCCCATAGTCTCTCATGTGTATATGTCTCTTAGCTTTCACCATACTGTATTATTATCATATGAATTCCCCACCCCCACTGGATTGGTATTCCTTAATGACATGGCCTATACCTTACATATTTGTGTCCCAGGTGCCTACTGAAGAAACTGGTATATAGTAGTTGCTCAATAAGTCATTGCTAAATGAACAGCTAAACAAATTGATATATTGTCACCTGATTATTTTATTGTTTATTTTTTTGTTTTGCTACTCTGCCTTTTCTTCACAGGTACTCAATAAATTATTTGAAAACAAAGACCTAATCATATTTTTCTTACTTTTACTTTACCATGGTAGGTAAAAGCTAGGAACATTGATACACTAATAAAATACTTTCTAATTGAAATAAAGTATATTTGAAGGAGTTAGCATTGTGTCAACAAATACATATAGGCCATTTACCACATGGCAAGTTGTACTAACATCAAACATTCCATGAAAACAAAACATTTGTATTCTATCCCAGAGACAAGATAAATGTATTTTTGGTAGTAAGAGAAAAAAATTGAAAATAAATATGGTATTTCAATGTCATAAAAAATTTTAAACTTACAAGATTTTGAACATTAGATATTTTTAAATGATTGTGTTATTTCAGAGTTCAAGAAGCCAAAATAAGAAAAAGCTAAACATAACCATATGGATACCACAAACTTTAGAAAAGGTGGACTCAAAGTGTTACGTAGAAAGATAAGCAAGAACCCAGGTCAGAAACTGATGAAAACAAAAGCTGCTCATGACAAGAGGGAGACATTACAGAAGAGACAAGTATCCAAACAGGTCATGTGGCAGCCCAGGGAACAACCTGACAACTGCAGTTTCTGTAAAGGTTTGTACAGTAGGTTCCAGGAGGAATAATTAACCAATGGTGAAGAGAGTACCCTAGCAAGAAGGAACAGGGTCACTTGAGTAGAAAGTCCAAAATAAGAGGAGGTTTGTAAGAAACCCTAATGACAACACAAAGTCTTCTAAAGCTATGTCTAGAGTAAGAGAAAGATAAAAGTGGTAGAAGGTCTACATGGGGAAGAAGGTATAAAATAACTGATAACAGAAAGTAAAGCCATTCAACTCGGTCCTGCTTTCTTTCAAATAGCACTGTTCTCATATAAAAAGGTAAACATATGGAGGGCGATGTGAAGCTCAGGGTACGTGTGAAGATAAGTGACAGGATAGTTAGTAGTTCTTGAAGGTCAACAATAATTTTATGGCTCATAGGAGTGAGTTCAGTCAGGACACAAAGAGACCACCTCTAAGGAAAGTGATGACGTATCTGAAGAGGGAAAATACCTTCCTCATGAAAAAATTTTATGGTGATGGACCACAGAACTCCTCCCTTGGCCTTGTCCAGCATCAATGATTTGATTCACATGTAAATGTCATGTTTATTGAATACCTGGATGCCTCAAAGCTGAGAAGACTAACATTTCAGATGCACAATGGCAATCTGTAAAATATCCCAGCATGTTGTAATAATTAGGGTAAATGAAATAAGATTCAATTTAATAAGGAGTAAAATCTTCAGTTGGATAAAAAGAGAATTATTACAAAAACTGAAGATCTGGAAAATGTAGCCTAGAAGTAGTAGCTTAACTGAAAAGCATTTGGGAATCTTAGTTAGCTGTAAGCTCCATGTGTATCAAAAAATCATGATAATAGCTGCCAGAAATGTTAATTCAATCTTTAGCAGTATGAATAGCAGCAAAATTCCAATAATAAAGATAATGGTCCCACTCTACCATTAAATGTATGACCTACAATATTTTTCCTCTATTCTGAGTGCTATATTTAAGATGATACATCACTCACTGAAATACATTCAAAAAAGACCTATCAAATAGTGTGGGAACTCAAAATCATATGTTGTGTCTAGTGCCTGAAGGAACTGATGGCCCTTTATCTGCAGAGGGGAGACTAAGAGAGGGAAATTATTACACTGTCTTCAAGTATTTGCAAGATTCTCAGATCACATAGATATTGAATATATCTTAGGTAGATCTAGGTTTCATGGGTAAAAGTAATAAGAAGGGAGGAGTGGTTTTTTTTTTTTTTTTTTTTTTCAGAGTCTCATTTCACCCAGGCTGAAATGCAATGGCGTGATCTTGGCTCACTGCAACCTCTGCTTCCTGGGTTCAAGTGATTCTCAGGCCCAGCCTCACTAGTAGTAGGATCACAGGCACCCGCCAGCACGCCTGACTAATTTTTGTATTTTTAGTAGAGACAGGGTTTCACCATGTTGCCTAGGCTGGTCTTGAACTCCTGACCTCGGGTGATCCACCCACCTCGGCCTTCCAAAGTGCTGGGAGTACAGGTGTGAGCCACCGTGCCCAGCTGGGGAGGAGTCTCTGACTTGCCAGAGCAGTTATCAAATGTTTTGATTTCATAACTCTTTTACCCTCACTATAATTTATGTGGGCTGTATCTATTGATATTTACCATATTTGAAATTAATTCTCTCTTAAGACTGCTACCTGTAGGCTTCATCTGCATAATAGGAACCTTGGTCTCCACAACTCTTTATCTTAACCCAGACACTCCCTTCTATTGATTCCAGGTCTTTAGATAAACTCTCCACCAATTGCCAATCAGAAAATCTTTAAATCCACCTATGAACTGGAAGCACCCCACTTTGAGTTGTCATGCATTTCCAGACCAAACCAATGTATATCTTAGCAGTATTGATTGATGTTTTATGTCTCCCTAAAATGTATAAAACCAAGCTATAGCCCGACCACCTTGGGCACATGTTCTCAGGATCTCCTGGGGTTGTGTCATAGGCCATAGTCACTTATATTTAGCTCAGAATAAATCTCTTTGGATATTAAAAAAAAAATTAAAACAGAAATTTTAAAAAATATTTATTACTTATCTAAACTAATAAATAACCCATCATATGTAAACATAAATAACACTTTTAATGAAAAGCAGCTATTTTCCAAGACAAAAGTGGCATTGTTTATCATTTTTTTGATGGCTCTTTAATGTCTGCTTTATTAGAAGACAGTGGTATTCTCGTATCTGCTTCTATATATAGTCTGTGATGATGTTGTATATCGCGCAGCTGCTAGAAAACTCCATTGTACTCTTGTGGAGAATAAGAATGAAAAACGCAAATACAGTGAAACCCCGTCTCTACCAAAAATACAAAAAATTAGCTGGGTGTGTGGCAGGTGCCTGTAGTCCCAGCTTTTCGGGAGGCTGAGGCAGGAGAATGATGTGAACCCAGGAGGCAGAGCTTGCAGTGAGCCGAGATCACACCACTGCACTCCAGCCTGGGCAACAGAAGGAGACTCCATCTCAAAAAAAAAAAAAAGGAAAAAGGCAAATAATATCTTAGTACTATTATGAAAATAGTTTTGACCATGAGGACACCCTAAAAGGGTTTCAGGGACTCCCAGGGTACCTGAATGACATCTGAAGAACTGCAGGCCTAGTAAAAGAAGAAATCATTAATAATTAGAATTTTACAAAATTGGGGTAGGTTATGAGATAAATTCTAAGTTCCTGGAGCAACTGAAGAAGGGCTGAATTACCTAATTTGTCCAAAATTTCATGTTTTAGGAAAGGAGTATAATAAACAACTCTTTCTTCTAAAAGTGGTGTGGTCATTCTATGGCAATGCTAGAAATCACTTTTCTATAGATACCTGTTTCTAAAGAAAGTATCATTTAAAAAATACTCATGTCTACCATGTAAGTATAATCTTAGAGTTGCTGGGAATGTAGAGGTCTGTGGTTCAGTTTCTCACATACCGCAGAACTCTCTATGCAACATTTCTGAGAGGTATTTAACCTCAGAGGCTTGAAACCTTGGATGATAAACATCTATTTCAGGAGACTCAACTACTTCCATTCTGTAAATATTACAAATTATTTCATTTCCCTGGAAATCTGCTCCTCTTCTACCATTCAGAAGGTTTTTCCTACTTGAACAATCTCCCTCTTCTACATGACAGGCCTTCAAATATTTGAAGACAGGGATTTTATGTTTAGATGCCTTTTTAATAAACTGGTTAGACTTCTTTTGTGAGATAAACATAATTTTGTTGGCAGTTTAAAATGTAATCTTGTAGCAAGTGGGCCAAAAGCTATTCCAAATAAAAAGCAAATTTAATGAAAAAGTAACATATTACCAGGAAGTCATATGAGATCTTTCTTTCTACAGAAGTTTTTTTTTTTCTTTTAAGTAATTCCTTTAAAATACTATGCTGTGTTTCAAAGGAACTCTATAAATCATCAAGGTTCCTCTTCACATAAACAATTAATTTACTAGTCTGAAGTTGACTTGTGGAAGGTATTTTTTAATCTATATCAAAATGGAGTTTTCAGCCTGATTTATAGCAGATTAATCAAGACAATACAAAGTGATTCTGTGTTTTGTGAAGTTACATTATATGAAATCTGATTCAGGTTACTGAACGGATTATTAATGGAAGAAATATGTATTATGAATCATAACCTGGAGTCAAAATCTGTTTATGTTAGAGCTGACCCATCAGTTACAAATGAACTTCCCCACCCACGTCCCACCCTAATAATTATGGAACATACAGATCAACAGCAGCCTAGGTGCTCAGAAAACAGGCAACCTAGCAGAGCTATGCTAATCAGCATTCACTTTCAGGGAGACTGGATTCACGTACAGTTAAAACCCAGGGTTCTGCATCTACTCTCAAAAATGCATGAGGAATGGGTGAGTGATTAGTCCTTCTGGTTGCCTGAGTTTTCAACGTATCTCACTTACTAGCTGCTCCCTAGCACGCAAACCTTCATACTGTATTTTGTCTAGCAAATTCCTCAAGTATTTCTTGAGTTTTAGGTGTAGAAACAATGTATTACACTACTTGGGGGCCTTTATAGTAACCATGTAGAACAAACCCAGTCTTTCAGAATAGGAAATGTCTACTATTTTCCAAATTTGAGGAGGTACTTGTATTATCTGAAGTTCTAAAATCATGAAGAATGAGGAAGGAGATTTTTTTTTTCCTTTTTTTGCTTATTTTCGATCAGCATAAAGGGCAGAGTGAAATAACTATAGACTACTGCTTTGTCTAAACTTAGAACACTTTCCACTTCAGGACTAAGTGAATTCATCTCTTCCAATCATTGCTGTAAATAATATCTACTTTCCTGCCCATAAACCACTAACATCCTATTGTTTCCTATAAGGTAGGCCCTTAATCCTCCCATTGTCAACTTTTCCACTTACCATAAAAGCATCCCCTTACCCTTTTTTAAAAATCGGGGTAAAATTTACATTTTACATTAAATGCAAATGTCTTAAGAGTATAATTTGATTTATTTTGACAAATGTATATTCCATTCATTCCAAATGTATAACAACCACCCCAGTCAAGGTATGGATTATTTCAGTCCCTCAAGAATGTTCTCTCACGTTTCCTTCCAGTTAATCAACTTTTGCTCATAGTTTGCCTGTTCTTCAACTTCATGTAATGAACCATATGTTATCACATCAGGTTTCATTCGTTTAACATAACATTTTTGAGTTTTCTCCATGGTGTTGCAGTATTTTTTTCCTTTATATTGCTGGTTAATATTTATTTCATTGTATGAAAATACAAAAATTACTTATTCTATTCATGGGCATTTGAATTGCTTCCAGCTTGGGACTATTATGAATAAACCAATATCAACTTTCTTATACAAGTTTTTTATTGTGGATGTAAGTTTTCATTTCTCTTTGGTAGTAGTGGCATTGCTGGACAAGGGGTAGGTGTGTGTTTAACTTTACAAGAAACTCCAAACAATGTGTATGAGAGTATCAATTGTATCACATCTTCACCAAGAATTAGTGTTGAGAACTCGTAACCACCCTCTTTTTTTTTTTTCTTTTTAAGGCTAGTTTCAATTAAATCAAGTTACTAACATTTTTAATCATAAGTGGTTATCTTTAAAAAAATTTGACATTCCCATCAGCTTTTCAAAGTGAGTTTTACAGTTCCCACCAGAAATATGTGGCAGTTTTAGATGTTCTACCTCTTTGTTGTTATATGTTATTGACCCTCTCCCCTGCCCCCCACACACATGTTTAAAAGCTAGTTCTTAATTAAATCAAGTTTCTTGCATTATGTCTCCTTCAAATTATTATTCAGCTTTTATAATCTAAATAACTGTCAAGTGAAATATTCTCAAATAGGAACAAATTTAATTCATGCTACAGATATAATTCTAAAACTGGGTCTTCAATATCATCTGCCCAGTGCCTGAATTTTACAGAACAGGAACCTGAGACACAAAGAGTTTCAAGAACTATCCAAAGGGGTTCTACTCAACAAGAAAATGAGGCAATATTAGTATGTTCTTCTCACCCTGTCTGACAACCTTAGGATGATTCCACATTGACTTTTATTTTTGGTTCAGACAAAGGGTGACATTTTAACGTGAGGGTAACATTTGAGTCAAATGATCTTTTTGATTTTCTTCTCTGAAAGCTAATATTAAGTGGTTTATTATAACTTTTTACATTCATGGTATAACAATACTGTACATTTACTAGCATTTTCAGAAAATATTAAAGATATTTTCTGAGATGGTACTAAATCATTGGTCAACATTACAAGTAGGAAAGAATAATTCCTCCATATTTTCATAAAGGGCAAATGAAGTACAGATAATTAAATAATGACCAAGATCAATGAGGCAAAACTCAATCTTCCCAACTCAAAAGCTCTCCACCAGAGCAGACCATTCCTTTTGCACAGGATTAACTAAATGTTCTATATATATATATACACATATATCTGTATATATATATATATATATATATATATATATATATATATACACATACATATGTATTATATATATGTATACACACACACACACACACAGTGTTTGGGTTTTGAAAATGTGAAATTGACTCAACTTTTTACCACAGCACATTTATTCCTGGGGAGCTTTTACATGGAGTGGTTATTAGTGTGAAGACAATGTGGTATAAATTGCTTTTTAATCACACTGCTCCCGGTGCCTGCTCTAAGCACTCCCCTCTCCGGATCTCTGTGAGGATGACCTCACTTCAGGCTTTTGTTGTGTGTGTGTGTGTGTGTGTGTGTGTGTGTGTGTGTGTGTGTGTGTTCGGATTTTTTTTTTTCTTTTTGTTGCAGTGGTGCTAACCAAGAAGATGTATTTTTCATAGATTTGTGTCAAAATCAATAACTTTTAAAAGTTGAAAAGTCAGTTTTAAAATCTCCTGTAACATAAAGAACACTGATTTGCTATATATCAAAGAGTTGAACACATTTCAGATGTATTGAATTTACAGAAATATGTAAGCAATAAGGAAAGTTAACATTTTCTAACAGTAAATCCTGACAGGACTTTTGCTTTTGGAGTGAGCAGAAAGGATTTATTTTTATGTTATGGAAAACTAGGTGGTTTAAAAACCCAGTTTGTTGCATTACATCATTTTTCAAATATTGTCTTTTAACACGCATTTCCTCTAACATCAAACTTTTTTTTAATATCACAATTTGAGGCAGTTTTTATAAGCAATTACATTTACCCTGGAAAAACATGAATGTCTTTTATCTCAGGTAGTCAAGCCATTTTGTAAAACTTCTATTAACAGAAGCTAAAAATCTATCATTTGGTTTAGTTAATATTTGAGTTTGCAGGAATAAAATCATCAGCCGACAGCAGCTGTGCACTGTGTGTTAAATCTAGAGCTGGCATTAGTCTATCAGATATGCAAATATTTATATCCTCATTGGCTAAGTAAACTGTTCAGCTCTGCAGAAATGGTGGGTTTGTTTTGAAATACTATAAGTGACTCCCTTTCCTAATAATGGCTTTTCTTCTGCTGAAATTCATACTTCTATTTGGAATATGCCTAAAATTTCCAACATAAAAACTAGCAGAAATCCTCATATACCTCTGGAAAAAGAAGTCAGATCAGTCGATATCAGAAAACACAAACTATTGGGTACACCAGATAAAGAAAAATATATTATTTGCAATATTGACCTATGGTTTTCAAGTATACAAACTAAGAGATCTTTAGAAAAACAAATTTCATTTTAAAAATTTAAAAAGCAAATATATTAGGGTGCGACTGCTAATGAATAAGGATTCAAGTCTTTGATTTTGTCAATATGCCATACTAAATTTAATTAACCGCCTGTTTTGGGAAATTTAGGGCTTTTTAATCCATAATAAATATCCAAATGCATATTTCTCTATATATACTTCTGATTTTATTTCTTTACAATGGAGCTCATAACTGGAATTGCAGAGTCAAAGGATATCAGTGGTCTTAAAGATCTTGATGATTATTGACCATTGTTAGGCATTACTTTTTATACAATAATAGATTTATTTTTAAATTCTCTTCACAATGTGTAAGGAAAAAGTGATCTTGTCAAGAAACCTAAAATATATTTTTCCCATTTTTCCTTTTTAAAAATTTAGAAATGTAACAAACATACTGAAATGTACAGAAACATGAATATACAGCTTAATTAATTGTAATAAAATAAACCACAACATAGTGAGACCTTGTCTCTACAAAAAAGTCAGAAAATTAGCCAGGCATGGTGGCGTGTGCCTGTGAGTCTAGCTACCCAGGAGGCTGAGGTGGGAGGATCACTTGAGTCTGGGTGGTCAAGGCTGCAGTGAGCTATTATCACACCACTGCACTCCAGCCTGAGTGACGGAATAAGACCCAGTCTCCAAAAAAAAAAAAAAAAAAAAGAAACCATTATAATCCCATTCAGGTCAAGCAAGAGAAGTCTTCTGTGTGCCCCTCCTTATTATAAGCCCCTCTTTCCATGGGGATAACCACCATTCCATTATGCCATTCACATTCTTGCTTTCTTTTATAGTTTTACTACCTAATTATGCATTCCTAAACAACATAGGTTAATTCATGTTATTTTGAATCATGCAGTTTATACTCTATCATGTCTGATTTAATATTTTTACTCAATATTGTATTTAAGCAACAAGTCCACAGTCGTGGAGGAATGATAGAAGAGGAATGATAATGAACTCTAAAACTTATTGAAGGAGCCATTAATCAGTAATCAAGAATGCTGGCATGTTTATGGCTAAAGATCTAAAGCTAAGGGGACAGCAAAGTATATTTGAAGTCATACATATGTAAGTGTAAATTGAACACATAAGTGAAAATAAACTTCCTAAAAGAAGGAGTAAGAAGTGAGAGAGATGAAGACAGGATTCAGGGAAGTATCTACATATGCCATACACATAGATGGAGACCATTTAATGAAGATATAATCGTCTTCCAAAATATAAAAAAAGATAAGAAGAATATTTCAAAGAACAGAAGACGGCTTTTTGTTGACCCAGTTCTACTCTCAGCCTCTCCAGTCTACTTTCAGATCATACCACCCAAAGCAAGAGAGTCACTGACAGCCAAGGACCATAATGTTGACCTTAGAACAGAGTAAAAATAATTGATTGCCATGAAGAATCAAACTCCTGGTCGTCGAAGCAAAAATAACTAACCAACTATAGACACCCTTTCTAGACTCATCCCAAATTTCTAGTTTAACTACTCATTTCCTTCAGTTCCTTTTGATATGCAAAGCAACCAGTTAAAGATTTTAATTGACATTTTCAAGAAGAAGTCATTGAATATCACTTGAAGTCTTCAAATTGAACTGATAGAAAATTAATCCTGTGGAAACTAGAAAAGCTGTTTTACATGTGGCATGGAAAAAAGACAGTCTCAGGTTTTACTTAGGCTGAGAAAAGAAAAAGAAACTTTTTTATATCATACATTTCTCCTTTTTAAGGCAAGATAATGGGTTAAAGACCATTTTCACAATTGCTTTTAATGCTATTACTGCCTGAGAAATAATACACCAAGACACTCTTGGCTGATCTGTTAGCCACACTTTCTTAACATGCTATTCTACCAATGTAAAAATGTTTTGGGTTCTTCAATTCATAAAGGAATAAACCTGAAACTTGTTGAAGGCAAAACTATATATATACATATATATACATACATATATATATACACATACACATATATATAATACTTATGCTGCTTTATAAACAATCCTTTTTTCTACTTTAGAGAAGTACTATATGGAGATAGTAATCAGCTGTAATTATTGCTTTTGAAAACTCATGCTTTAAAACCCATAAAATACTTTAAAAATAAACGCAGGAAGCTTCGTAAAATACATTTGCTCAATTCAACAAAGAAAAAAAAATCAAACCAGTTAGGACACTCAAGTGTTATTTGCAGCAATCATGATAAGTCAATTTTGGCTTAAACCATGATTGTTATAAACACTCACAAAACATATTATTTACCAGATGGCAATCTTACTCAAGCAAACACATAAAACTTCTGATTCATTATTATCAAATAAAGATGAACTTGCCACTGGGTTAACCTCCAGAAGTTAAACAAACACATCTCGACAAAATGAGTGCTGTGGTTTCTATCACTGGATAAGTACATAGAGTAAAGGAACTATCTTAATATTTAGCAGCATTACCTTATATTCCAAAGAACCAAAGCTTGCAACAGAATGCACAGGCAAAATGGCAAGTTCTTGTTAGCACTTGTACTTTCACTTTCTTCGTAAAAAGCTATTGCATTTCAATGTACAAAGAAGGAACAGTATGAACTATGGCCTAAGCTAAAATATCTGTATAAAACAATTATTAGTTGACATTATAAAATGTACAAAGCAATCCTAAGACTTTCTTGTTACTTCCTCTCTTCAACAAATACAATATCAGAGTCTATCATCTATGGAATGTACAATATAAGAGTTATACTTTATAAGTCAATTTCATAAACTAATATGACAGCATACTAAAAGTCTATTTGTGATTACTACATTATCATATCAGTGTATGTATACGTGTACTTGTGTGTGTGTATCTGTTTGAAAAGTGACTATTTGTAACTGAAAGTGCTTTTTTAAAAGATCATAGTTTTGAAATTAGGTGTTTTTTTGTTTGTTTGTTTGTTTGTTTTGGTTTTTTTTTTTTTTTTTTTTGAGTTACAACAATTGAAATGGAATGAGGAGTGAGAGCCTCTTTTGCTTGTTTGTTTGCTTCCTGGCCAAAAGCAATACTCTCAAACAAGCTGTGACCAGAAGCTCCATTATAAAATGTGGCAGACACTCCTTGAACTTGTATAAGCATGATGTGAGCTCAGGGGTATCACAGCACTAGGAGCCATGGGAATAATCAGAAATTGAAACCATAGAGAGAAACATCAGGACTCTATGAGAAGGAAAAATGACATATCTTGTCTCCATGCCTTGTCAGGTCCTCTGTGGCCAGAACTCAAGTACTACGGAATGAAATAGTATAGAGTGTTTATGTCTAACTGGACAATGAAAAGTTCCTATTGTTTCTCTCTAGGCTACCTCACTGGATCCAATGCCTTGATGAAAATTTCTTGGTTTATTTCTTTACCCCTGAATCAGTTGGTGTGGCCAAAGTTTGTAAATTGTCAGCTTTCTGAATGTAAACGCAGTTCTTCCAGAGGAAATCAACAGAAGCGAATAAAAGAAATTCTGGTCTTTGAAAACTTAAATAGATACATTAAATTAGAAAAGTATTCTGAAGGCTTACCTCTTCCTCAAATTGTTCTCTAAAGCTAATAGTTAAGGGCAGGGACTTCTCTCTCGCTGGATAGCACCAAAGCGAAAGGCAATTTCTCTCCACAGAGGAGTGGGAAGGCACTTCAGATCTGCAGAGCATTTCGCCACTGAAGGACAGATTGCCTTTAGATTGCAACTTCCTTGAGGGTCGAGTCTCCTTCTCTATTACCTTCTGAATTGCACCTAAAACACCGAGTACTTTCAAAGAATATTGGTTTGTGAAAGATAAAAATGGATCATTTACACTGTACATCAGTACCAAAAACCTTAATGGACTCAAGTAAGGTCATTTCATCGCTACCAAGAAGCCACAGAAGAGACAACTATATCAAGACAGAACCTTTTTGACAGTTGTTCCTTTACTGACTGAAATTCAGTTCAAGTCCTAACTTGAACTGAAATTGAACTATGATTCCAGAAACAAACAAAGTATATGATGTGCTCACAACCTCTAATACTCCAAATAAATTTACTTGGAGTGTATTTTTCTTTATAAAGTCTATTACACTCACTTTTTGCTACTTAGGAAAAAAAATAAGTGACCCAGGCAGGACACATGGCAACACATCCAAACCAACGTCTTACGTGACCATTTATTTCACATATATATAAAATATATATAATTGAAATGTATACTGCTGCTAGTCTATTCTGTTTCCACCCAAATTAAATGCTAGTAAAAATATCTGTGGAGGCCAGGCATGGTGGCTCACGCCTGTAATCCCAGCACTCTGGGAGGCCGAGGTGGGTGGATCACGAGATCAGGAGATCAAGACCATCCTGGCTAACACAGTGAAACCCCGTCTCTACAAAAAATACAAAAAATTAGCCAGGCATGGTGGCACGCGCCTGTAGTCCCAGCTACTCGGGAGGCTGAGCCAGGTGAATCACTTGAACCTGGGAGGCAGACATTTCAGTGAGCTGAGATCGCGCCATTGTACTCCAGCCTGGGCAACAGAGCGAGACTCCATCTCAAAAAAAAAAAAAAATTATCTGTAGAACTGATAACACAATTGTAACATCTAATAAAGGCTTTTATTACTCATTGTATTATAAACATATTTTCTTTTTCTAGTTAGTATAGTTGCATTACAAAAAAGTTTGGAAAGTTGACATAACCCTCTCCCAAAATTCCTCTCCCCTAATACAGCCCCTATAAGTACTTGCACTGCTCTTTCTGCAAGTGATGAACATGCTCTATGAGGAAGTCAACTTTAGCCCTCACTTACCAGCCTATTACCAGTCACAGAGCCATCCTCCTCCCAGTGATAGCATTATAGAAAATTCTCTTTTAAATTAACACTGAAAGATCTGATTTTAAATGAGCCATCTTCATATAATTGCCCAAAAAGCACTATCATTTCAATGATTCTAACTGAATTTTCTCATTTGTGAAGACTGATACTCCTTATCAATTTTTTTTTAATTGTGACTATAGAGAAACAGAAATTGAACATTCTTCCCTATATACTTTCCTCCCTTATGGACAGAAGGGATACATTGAATAGTGTTTCTCTCTGTTAATGTGGCTTGAAATTCCACAATACACTGGAAAAGGCTCTCTCTAGCAGACCACTGGGAAATATCAACTATACACATTTGTGCCACTAGTTCTCATATACATCCCTCAATGCCCCTGGTTAATAATATGATATTTCCCTAGATAATGAAAAGCAGAGAGCCATGACCCCTTAAGCAGAAAAACAGCATGACAATATAAGCTCTGACCTGCCATGAAGGCAGGGCACAGTAGCTTTTCCTCTACAGCATATTCAAGTCTACTGGCTAGAGAAGCCTCTATTTGTCAGAATCTGCATGCCATCTCTGAACTTTTTCTGGAGCCTCTCCATTGGTATCAAAACAGGTCAATGTGCTAAACAGTCTGGGCACAAAGCTTCTTTGCTTTTTCCTCTCTTCTATCCAAAGAGTGAACAAACAAGGGAATTAGAGTAAAACGATGCAGACTCTGATCTGATGCCACCCCCGCCACTTCATGGCAGTCCACTTGATCTTGCCCAACTTCACCTTTCCCATCTGAAAAATGGGGATAATACCGATGCTCACTTCGTGGGGTTGTCATAGGAATCTAAGGAGATGATGTAGCTTCAAGCACTGTATAAACTTTCAAGGATATTATTGTACAATTCAGTACTGAGAACATAATTAGGATTTATTAATGTGAAGATACAAGGTTAAGGCAATTGTTTTCTTGGCATGTTTGGAACTAGAAAAATCAGGAATAATTCCTACTGTTCTCATTACAAGCATAGGAATACGAAGCTGAAAACTGGCCACTTGTAATTAAGCGGCTCTGTTCCCTGTAATTTTTAGAGTACACTACAGTGTTATAGCTCTTTACTTTTATTAACTGCCAAAATTAATATCAGAACCCATTTTCCCAATATTCTGAAAGAAAAAGGACAGGACTTTTTCCCTTAGATGCACAGATGCAGTTTTATCTACATGCATGCATTTCAGAGGCATTATTTAAGCCATAGTGCATCTACTGAACAAACTGTAATCATATCTTTGTCCCAACTCAATTACCAAATAAACTCATAACTTAGAGCCCTGCAATAAATAATCTATTCCCAATTTTAGACTGATCATTAGATATGGTTCACACTAGGAATCTGTTAAATGAAAGAATGCTTAAATTCACTTACATCACTTAGAGCATATTGATTCTGATGACTATTAATCCACATAAAACAAGTGGTACATCTACAGAGAAAACAGAACTTCAGGAAAATTCCACTTAGCTCCTATGAATTGCAAGCTGTGTTCCCTTTAGTCTTCCTTGATTGCCCATCCTGTGAATCTCTCTTTATGTCCCTCTGTAGGTATAAGAATTAAAGTTTATTTCTGCATGTCGTCTCTCTCTCTGTCTTTTCTTCATGGGTGCCCTAACTCTTTCTTCAGTGGTACCTTTTCTTTTTCTCTTGAACACTAGTGTTCATTTCCTTCCATCATCCTCTACCTATCAAATCTTACTCTCAGGAGGGAAGTGAAATAAATTATTCAAATACATATATGCTTGGTGATAAGGCTTCAAAAATTATAAATCCCAGAGGTAACTGCATTTTAATAGGTAATGTTTGTCAATCTAGTAAAATGATCCTTTACCTAGAAATCCCTGAAAAAACATACCTGTTTTGAGATGGTAGTACCTCTCTTATTTTTGAAGAAGGGATTAATTCTTTAGACCTCTACTTTTTTGTCTATGAAACAACAAGATCGCAACATATGCAATTTCTAATATTCAACTATCTTTTAATTCCAAAAAAATGGAAATGTCATGGTTTAATGTACATTAAAGTTACTACACATGACACTTGATAGGCTAGGTAAGTAGCATAAATGTGTCAAGTAGGGAGTTGTGGGAAATCAAGGAGGACCGTGAGCCATAGCAGTGTGAAAAACACATGCCTTATTTGAAGAGATTCAGATTAAAAACAAACACACAAACAAACAACAATCACTATGTCAGCCAAACTAAACAGTGCTGAGAGGAGCACTGGTGGACCACCAGTCTGTGAATGCCAAACTACATGGTTATAGTGATTCCCTACAGTTCCAGCTTCCTATGATTCTACGAAGTGTATCAGGCTGGAGAAAGGATGTTCTCAAAAATATTAACTTTGCTCTTATGCAACCTAGAGGAGACATCATTGAGGAAGTATGTTAAAATGAAACAACTGCTACAAGTAATATTCTGACACTGCCCCTACAAAGACAAGCTCTCAAACAACAGCTACCAAGATTAGGAAACCAGAGAGCAAGAAGGATGACAAGTCAACATGAATGAAAAAGGAAAGTCAACAAACTGCTAATTTTTCACCATGACAAATAGAGAGGTTGTAGAACTCTGTTCTACCTTCTCCATTCCAAAAAATGACACACTTCTCATCAGTGGTCATAAAAAATAAGTGGGGCCACTCTGAAATGCAATACATACTATCATTTATAAAGACAACAACACTGAGTTAGTCTGAATTTTAAAAACAGGAAGAAAAGAAACCAAAGCTTATCTCCCTCCATGATTTAAAACATATCTTTATGGAACTCAGACATATCCAAGAGGAGCTCTTCTTTCCCATTCTTAGCATTTGCTAGACAGGAGACAGAAAATCCAAGCCACATAAGAATGCAAACACCACCATGTGAGTGTGGTTAGGTTAAATGCATAATCATAATGGGTTATAGGTTTAAAAAATCAATTTTACCCACTTGAGTCAATTGTGGAAGTCTTCATATTGACCACATTTACTCAACCATCTGCCACATATATCTTATGGCTATTTCAAGGTTTATTTATAAATGATATGTACATAACACCCTCTTTTTAAAAAGCATTTTAAAAATCTTGTGCTTTTCTGTTCTCTTTAATGGGGAAATGTCATCAGATTAAAATGTTTACATGCATTATGTAGATCTTCATGAGATATGTACTGACTACAGACACAGCAACTATCAAAAGCAGTAGAGAGGAGTCTTAAAGGTATATTTCTTACAATAAAAAGGTAATAGATTTCAGGTTTAAAAAAAGAAAAAAAAACACATTTCTTCTTTATCTCTTGCTTGCCTCTAAGGACTGGAGTACTAGAGTTATACAGTACTGATAAAGTGGGATATATTGTGAACATATTTTTGCCAGTGAGATAGGCAAAGAAGATGCCATTGAGGTATATGGTAAAATTTAACAGACTTGAAGTTTCTGAATCTTTAGTTACATCTTAAAGTATTACAGGACATTAAACTCTCAAACAAAATGTATTTGTTTCAGACTTCTTGCAGTTAAGGACAGGTGCTTATAAAATATGGATGTCTAGAATCTATATGCATTCTGCAAAAATCACTGCAATCTGGTTTAAAACATTCCTGGAAGATTTATAATAAGATTTATGACAGTGATTCATTGCTGTCTTACAGTTTCAAGCATCGTGCTTTATGAAGAAAAGTGTATATGTACTCATAAAGAAATATTACTTACAGAATAGCCACTTTTGTAAGCAATATAGAGGATTGATCCAATCAGATGTGTGATTATCAATATGAGGTATCTTTGACATAACTAACTTAAAATCATTAAAGAAACTTAACGTTGGCTATCTCCCCTGGATCTTCTCACTTCTATCTCAAACACAGAATATCTTAACCATGGACTACCAGCTAATCACACCACACTCAAAATCCAAAGTATCTAAAATGAAAAAAGAAAAACATTCTGAAATTTTCATAAATTTGGAAAATCTAAGGATTGGAAAAAATAAATAAACCAGGTGAAAACTCCAATGTTCACAAAGAACAGAGAAGTAATGTGATTGTGTGTGAAGTGGACTCTGCTGGCCTGTGACAAACAGATCTTATGCACTATCTCAAGGGACAATGGCTACTTTCCTCCGAGGTGTGTCATTTATTAAGGATACTGCACTATTGCCAGATTTTCTAGTTTTTCAAGAAAAGCTGAAAATTGGTATCTTTTGAATTATCTCAACTTTTAAATGTTGGCAACTAGTTTAAAAATTATGAAAGCCAAAAAGGACTGGGGAAACACATTGGGAGAACATGGCCTGCCTTTGGGCCACAGGATAACAAGCCTCCTAGTCCAGGCTTTCTGACTTGCCTCTCTTATTGCCACATTCCTGCCAAGCTGCTGTCTCACACCCATATCTGAACACTTTTAACTATGAAGAATTCAGCATTTCTCAAGTTATCGCATTTAGAGCTTTTCCATATTCTGGAAAGCTCTTCCCTATTTTGAATCAAAATTTTCTTGTCATTATTTTTCTAGAGCTACCCCTTACCATCACTAGAAACCTTCTTCAATATGAAATGCTTTCATATACTGGAAGACATAAACATAAAATACATATTTGAATTAATAAATAAATTTAAACATTTCCAAACTCAGACAGACAGAGGGATGATAGATAGATAGATAGATAGATAGACAGATAGATAGATAGATAGATAGATAAAAAGATTCTCACAATTTAGGGATATCTCTTTAGTGATCAGAACACTTTTCCTTCAGAAGATTTAAAATTTAAAGAAACAAAATAGCATCAGATCTCATGTTAGCAAATAGGAAACATATTGTTAAGGGAGATCTTGCCAGTGGCTCAGAAAAACAGCAGGCAAGAGAAGGACCTCATCAGAGGCTGATGTAATACCCCACAACTTCCCAGTCTTTTACCATGATGAGCTCATTCCTTTCCTCAGGTCAGTGCATCAATGCATGTGGACAATGGCCCTGTCCATTTCCTCACATCTATAATTCTGAAATACTACATCCCACTCCTCTATCCTCAATCAATTCCTCTTATATGTACATCCAATTCAAAATTCCACTTCTGGTTTTCAATCCTCCATGGACTTTCAGCAGTCTGCCCCACATCCTTTTGTTCTCTCTGATCTCTTTAAACCACCCTTCCCCTCTGCTTTTCCACAGTCACTTGTTCCTTTTCTCTCCTACCTTTTGGACAGTCTTCCAATAAGTCCCCATCCTGGTAACTCGACATTTATACCATTTCTTAGCTGCCCATCTCCCAAATATTGTTCCACACAAAAGACTTCAGTACTAATTATTGGAGATGTTTTATAAAATAGTTGTGTAATGCTACTCATTTGCCACCTGTATTTAGCTGTTGAAAAAGCCAAGTCAGAAACGAATAGCATTGTGTTTTCTTTTTTTTTTTTCTCAGATATGTGAAAATGTAATTTTGTGACAGTTTTGTTAGGGGTGAGAATTTCACCTTCTTTTCCTCTTCATGCGATGGCTTCCAGTGTCAGCAATGCCTATGAAGTGAGTAAGGCCTTTGAGTTACAACAGCCATATCATTTCTTTTTTAATCAAGGAAATAAGGATAAAGATGAAATCTCTCTCAAGTGCTAAAAAGATAGCAGTTTATTTAAAGAAAGTATTTACACTCCTCACTAATTACTTAGGTGTACTCACACTGATATCAGCGCAGAACTTTATACCCTTCAACCATCTTCAATATATCATTAAATTAAATTCATAGAGATGTGGGTTTAAATCAGAAACATGCTTCAGCAATCAGGAATATAATAGCTTTCAATTTTCTCACTTTTTAACAGAGGAAAAAGGAACTAATAGAATCCTCTTTAGAGGCAAGGAACATTTATACAACTGGACATACAGTCTCAACATAAATATGGAAAGACTGCCCTTATTTGACTGAAGTTTTGTAGCAGAGAAAGTATCTCACCATCTCATATATTTTGCCAGGTGGAAAATAATTGACTAAAAAAAATTCAGAGAGACTGACAAATGTAGAAAGAAAGAACTTTGAACTATTCTTCCCAGGTTTAGTAATGGACTGTTTTTTTGCCCAGACTTTTTCCTGAATTTTATATATCCACAAAGGAATTTCCTTTTTATTTTATCTTTCTTTCAATTAATATTTACTGAGTGCCTTCAGTGTGTAAAGCACTGTACTAGGTACAGTGGGTGAAAGCATAGAACAATAGACAAAAGGTTTCTACCTTCATGAATTTTACTATTTCACTGGGATGGTAAAGATTGACTAGTATTGTCCTAGTTAATTACTTAGTTACACTTTGTGATAAATATTGAATAAAAGAAGACGGTAGGGTATAATAAAAGCATATAGCGGAAGGACCTGGAAGGTCAGAAAATGCTTTCTTGAGGAAGTGAAAAAGCAGCAATTAATTACCTAGCATGTGGAGGTGGATAGTGACCTCCAGGGACAGGGAACAGAACACGTGAAGACTCTTAGCCAGGGAGAAACAAGCATACTAAAGGGTCTGGGACTCAGAGAGTAAGCAGAGGAGATGTTTAAGCTGGTAGGAGAGGCAAATTCTCTAACATTCAGGGCTTGAGACTTTTTGCTTTTTAGTTGTAAAGCAAGGAGGGAAGTAGACAAAGCCAAAAAAAATGGTGGAGGTAAGACAAATAGGACACGGTGAATGTTTAGAGATGAATGATGAGAGCGGACACAAAGTGGCCATGGGAAAAAGTGGAAGATAATTTTGTTTGGGGCTAGGCATGGTGGCTCATGCCTGTAATCCCAGCACTTTGGGAGGCCAAGGTGGGCTGATCACCTGAGGTCAGGAGTTCAAGACCAGCCTGGCCAACATGGCGAAACCCCGTCTCTACTAAAAAAATATGAAAATTAGCCAGGCGTCATGGTGCGCACCTGTAATCCCAGCTACTCAGGAGACTGAGGCAGGAGAATCGCTTGAACCCAGGAGACGGAGGTTGCAGTGAGCCGAGATCACACCACTGCACTCCAGCCTGGGCAACAGAGCAAGACTCCATCTCAAGGAAAAAAAAAAAAAAGATTTTGTTTGGGATGGGAGGGATGTCGAGTCCAGTTTTTGAGTGGTTTCATTTGTCCGTGAAACAGGGTGAGGTGCAGCTCACAGAGGAGTCTAAAGAGAAGTCAATTCTAGAGTTATACAATTACAAGTCATCAGTGTAGTGATTATGCAAGGCAGAATGTAATTAAAGCCATGGGAATAAATAAAATTGCCTGGGGGAAAGGCACAGCAGGCAAAGAGAAGAGGGCCAAGGACAAAACTTGAAAACTCTCAACATTTAAAGACTAGGGAGAAAAGAGGGAGCCGATAAAGGCTACTGAGTAGGAGTAGTCAAACTCACAGAAAGAAAACCAGAAGATGCGCTGTCATAAGGCAAGGGAAGGGCATGTTTGTTCATTTAGGAGAGAGCAAAACAATGCCAAACAGATGCTGAAGGGTTACAAAGATAAAAGCCAAGAATGCATACAGGTTATTGCTGGCTTTTCTGAGAGATGAACTGGTTCAATAATGAAAGCCCAAGTAGAGTATTTCGAGAGTACATAGGAGGTAAGTAAATAAAAGCCAGTGTAGAAAAAAATCTTAGAGATGTGTGACTAAACTTCATGTAATATTTTGGCCATGTCTGAGAATGTCTAAGCTCTGAATCTGCAGGGAAGAAGACATGTAACCATTTCACACAGTGTCTTGGCCACAGTCTCTCAATTCCTGTCTCCTTCCTATTGCCTCTCCCACTCAGCAGAAAATTTCCATCTCTGTCTTATCTTCCAACTTTATGCCCACTCACTTCTCTCTCCTATCCTTTACTCCTTAGGCTTTGAACATTCTGAGCAAGAGTAGACTCAACCTAGTAGGCAAGGGACACTTTATAATGTGATTTCTCAGATGTATTCTGGAGACCCATTTAACTCATAAGCCTCATAGTTCAAAAGACTGATGACTGATAATTTCTTAAGAAAAGGCATAAGGACTTGATTTTTTAATGTAATAGGGAGTTAAATAAAAAATGTCACTGTTCACTTGTGCTACCTCAACCATAACTGTACTGCATTGAAATTGTCCTTATCTATTCAATAACTAACTGTATCTTGTCATGTAAAAGCTCTGACATGACAATTAACATCTCTGTTATTCTGCAAGTAAAATTAAATCGCTCACTAGTAAAATAGAATAAAGACACCCGGAAAAGGCAGATATGCCACCCATCTTCTTACCCCCATTCTATCCCCATGTGCCTTCTTCTCTATAACTTACAGGGGTTGGGGAAGGGCTTTTGACATTTGTTCCATGATGTAATAGAGGATTTAACCATCAAATTATGTGTCAAAGCATATTCAGGCCCTGCTTATTGGAAGGAGACAGGTATAGGCAAAACATTACAAATTGAGCCCCGCACAGCTCGCCTTTCCAAAAGCCCCTCCTGTGTCCTTCCCAGTATGTCTGTGAGGATCAAGTGAAGTGATGATGATGCTAATCACTATCATTTATTCAGGACCTACCTGTGCCAGGCACGGTTACAGATGTAACATCTCCATTCTCTCCACAGGTATTTAGTTGGCATCTTTGTTCCATTTTTCAAATATGGCTAAGCTACGGAAGTTAAACAATTTGCCCAAGGTCAGCCAGTCATTAAGTAGATAATCACTAAATGTCTTCAAATGTGACAGAGAAAGTCTTTCCACTGTTCCACTATGCCTTCCAAAGCAAAAGCTATTTTCAGACTGGAAAACTAAGTCAATGTTAATTTTTATATTTATATTAGAATCCATTGGGCTGTACAGTATCAGGGTTAGAAGAATGGGCTCAAATCCCAGCTTTATTTCTTATTAGCTGCTATATGATGGTTATGTGGGTAAATTACACTTTGTGTCTCAATTTCTTCATCTGTAAAATGGCAATAACAAGGAACCAAACTTAACAGTTCTGTGGGGATGAAAGGAATAGATACAGAAACTCTCTGACTTACAGTGGTTCAACTTACAATATTTTGACTTGACAACAGTGCAAAAGCAATACACGATTAGTAGAAACACACTTCCAATGCCCATAGGACCATTCTGCTTTTCACTTTCAGCACAGCACTCACTAAATTATGTGAGATATTCAGTACTTAATTGTAAAATGGGCTTCATGTTGGATGATTTTGCGCAACTGTAGGCTAATGTAAATACTCTGAGCATGTTTAAGATAGGCTAGGCTAAGCTATGACATTCCATGGGTTAAATGTATTAAATGCATTTTTGACTTACGATATTTTCAACTTAGGATGAGTCTCTTGGGGCATAACCCCATGGTAAGTCAAGGAGCATCTGTACATGTATCTTGAAATATAATTAAATTCATAGTAAGTACTAAAAAATATTTGTTAGTATCGCCATATTATGAACCCAATTACTGGTAGGTACATCTGGCTTCATTAGTCATAGTTTAAGAGTCCTATAAGGGTCCATTAGCTTTACAAAAAGAAAAAAAAACTTTCCATTCTTTGCAACTAAAATAATGATGTAGACCAGTAACTTGCAACTCCAACTGTGCATACAAATCATTTCTAAAGCTAGGAATGTTGGCTCTCCATCTGAAATATCTGATTGAATCGGTCTGAGGAAGGACTTTGAAATGTGGATTTTAGCACCCTCTAACTGCTGCTACACTACTGTGGCTGACAACTACTGATGTCACATGGAAAGACACCTACATTCATTGCAATGAAAAAAAAAATCTAATCACAAACAACAAGTTCTCTTTCTTTAAAATATTCAAGATTTTGTCTACTAAAATGTTAACATTTATTTCTGGGGTGGTGGGAATGTGGGTAATATTTATTTTCTATTCTATTCCTTAGGAAGTCTTTAAATTTTTCCATTTCATTTATACTATATATTCATTCTGCATATCTGTTTTCATACCATGTTCTTCGCACTACGTTAGGCAATGAAGATATGACCGAGGACTAAACAAAGCCCCTGTTGTGCTCATGGGCTTACAATGTTGTGGGGAAGGCAAGGGATAAATAAAAATAGAATATAAGGTCAGCAGGTAGTATGTGCAGTGGAGGAAAGGAAAGCAGGGAGAGGTGATTGAGAGCAACTACTGGGCTATTATACTTTAGGATGTTCAAAGACCTCTCAGAGTTACATTTGAGCAGAGACTTGAATGAAACAAAGGACCCAGCCACAAGCATCATGTTGAGAAAAGTGTTCTAGGCAGAGAGAATAGTAACACCAAGGCCCTGAGTGTTGTAAACATACATTTCTTTTATAATCAGGTCAAAAAAACTATAAGGTTATTTTAATTTGTGTGAAAGAAAAAAAAAATTCAAAGGCATAGAATGTCCCTGGAACTGGGACTCTATCATCAAACTAACCTCTCTTGACACTCCAAGTATCAACTACAAAACGAGGGGGTAGAACTGAGCTTCCACTTTTGATTTTATGGCACAGGTTTCAAAAGCAAATTATATGAAGGAATCGAGTGGTTTTCTTTACTTACTAATATATATGAGGAAAACATGAATCCCCATCATTACCTTCCCGTGTCAAGGAATACCTGCTGGATGCCTGCACTGTGCCCCAAAACTGACTGATGTGGGGAGATTAAGCAAAGCATGAAACATATTGCTGGACACAATCTCAACAAAAATACTACATGTCTAGAAAGATTAGAGACTCTTGTAGGACAGAATACCATTAAGGCCCAAACTGTTGCACAATACAGATGACTAAGACAGAGTCAGTGGGTTCCAGAGGCCAAGAACTATTGCTGTTATTAAGAGGGTAAAAACAAACATTGATCATCCCCCTTTAGTCCCCTTTCGTCTACATACTTTGCTTTTAGTCACCACAGAAAAAGCAATATAAGTGCCATGGTCAGCAGGGCATGTATGCTCATGTCTGTAATCCCAGCACTTTGGGAAGCCAAGGAGGGTGGATCACCTGAGGTTGGGAGTTTGAGACCAACCTGGCCAACATGGTGAAACCCCATCTCTACTAAAAATACAAAAACTAGCGGGGCATGATGGCAGGCGCCTGTAATCCCAGCTATTAAGGAGGCTGAGGCGGGAGAATCATTTGAACCCAGGAGGCTGGAGGTTGCAGTGAGCTGAGATCACACCACTGCACTCTAGCCTGGGCAACAGAGTGAGACTCCATCTCAAAAAAATAAAATAAAATAAAATAAATGCCATGGTCACGTAAAGCCTGACAGGGACAAGTTCAGAGCATTTTCTATTGCTAGGAATAGAAAACCTCTCAAGCTAGTGAAAGGAGAGTTAGATGGACACAACAATGATGATGTCACGGACATCCATGCATCCAAGGACAGGAAACACAGTAGAGTTGGGCCTGGACTTGGAAACCTGCATGCAGTCACTGAGGCCATCACCTCCAACTCTTAGGGCCTGTACGGTGTCATCTTTCCTTCTCTCTGCACATTTGATCCATCCCCTCCACTTGGCTGCTTTCTCAGGTCTTCACTATCCAGCCTTTCATGACTTCAGTGTGCAGGTGACATCAGGAAAGCAGACCCAGCTCTAATTCTATAAGACCTTGACCTTTCATCTCAAGGGTCCATCACAGACTGCAAATTCCCTCTGTTCTTGCTTCTAATTTTCTTGATGGGGAAAAACTCTGATTCATTTAGCCAGGGCTTGTCTTAGTCCCCGGGCTGCCCCAGGTTCAGGAGTCCACCTGTATTCCAACCAGCTCTGGCAGACGGTGGGCCCTTAGAAAGGACATGAGGGTGGGGCAGTTGAAGAATCCTGTCTAGTTCTAATTAGAAAAAGTTAATGGCTTTCAGAATGTGTAAAAAGATCCATTGGGCCTACCAGGTATTTCTGAGAAAAAAAAGTAAGTATGCTATTTATGTTATCAGTCATCTGCTGCAGTCTAAAAGGGTACAGATTTTCTGGTAAGGGGCTTCGAGTGATAGATTTTACAACCTTGAGGGACTTCTATGGAGCAGTTTAAGAAACCATCTTAGAGTGCTAAGAAGTTTAAACCAAACTTCTTCTATCCAGATGGCGTCCAAGGCCAAGAGGGAGAGAAGTCCTGCTGCCTTTTTATGTTGGTCTTGATTGTTGTTAATGATCCCCAGCTGTAAGTCTCCCACATCTCTTTAACCTCTCTCTGGTTGGCCTCCCATCTCTGCATCTCTTACAGGGAAAGTGGATCACTAAACACAGCACCCATTCCCAGCAGAGCATGTGCTGCACAACACACAAAGGTCAACCTCCAAATGGACCCCAAAGCTTGTTCAGTTAGCCTTTGCCAAGACCCTTCATTCATCCTAGAAGCAGCCAGCCTCAGCATTCTCACTCCTGGAGGAACGTGGAGCCATACATCTCCCAGCAGGAGAGTGGGGGCCCGTGATCACCTATGGCCAATGCTAAGAGGTTTCTTCTTCTGGGTGTGCAGGAATCACTGCCAGACAAGCGCATAATTTTCAGGGATAAGGTATGCATTAGAAATTCTGATTCTGAAATGAGACTCCTTGCTATAAAAATGTTCTCCCCAGAAACAAACAGCTAATGAAGCAATGTGATGTTCATGACTCTTTATCTGGTATTCTCTTATTGACTCATTCAAAAAAACCTTTCTTGAGTTGACTACAGACTGTCAAGCTAAAACAAATTACTGTGCTAAAGGAGACCAGAGGCTGGTCAAGGATGCAGTATCTGCCCTCATTTCACTGTATGTAAGGTATGCATAGGTGCTGATGTAACATGGAAAAGAAACACCCTGTTCAATCTAGGGGCAGCTGGAGGGGAAGGGAGTCAGTTCTCTGGGAAGGCTTCCTGGAGGAGGAGGTGACACAGAAAATAAGTTCTGAAAGATAAATAGGATTCAACCAGCTTATGTATGAATGAACAATCAAAAGAACAAATAAAAACAAAGAGGATCCTTCTAGGCAGAGGGAACACTTATACAAAGACAATATGGCACATGAGGAGAACTGTTGTTCTTTCTTAGGGCATAGATAAGGACCTGAAAAGAATGTATCAATAAATGGAGGGCCGGGTGCGGTGGCTCACGCCTGTAATCCCAGCACTTAGGGAGGCTGAGGCGAGTGGATCACCTGAGGTCAGGAGTTCAAGACCAGCCTGACCAACATGGAGAAACCCCATCTCTACTAAAAAATACAAAATCAGCCAGGCCTGGTAGCGCATGCCCGTAATCCCAGCTACTCAGGAGGCTGAGGCAGGAGAATCACTTGTACGCGGGAGGCGAAGGTTGCGGTGAGCCAAGATCGCGCCATTGAACTCCAGCCTGGGGCAGCAAGAGCGAAACTCCATCTCAAAAAAAGAAAAAAAAAAAAAAAAAAGGAAATGGAGATAGGCACTACCTTGTATCCCCTGCTAGGATTCCCTCTTTCATGAAATTTGCTACAAGAGCTCCTCAGTAATCAGCACTGATCACTGACCTTTCTGTCTACTCCCATACTACAGACTAATTATTGAAACTGGGGCCAGTTAATGATAGCCAACTGAGTGCTTTATTTCTACTGTTTCTTTGACTGTTTCCTGTGTAAGCTGTTCAGCCTAACCATAATACCACACCCAGGAGAGCAGAGAACCCTTTGCCCTCCTTGACCCACAAAGAGCAGGCAATTGGCAAATACTTGTTCAAATGAATTGCGAATGTCCATGAGTGGAATTGTTGCCTCACTACCAATGATTAGCAGAAGTCTTAACCTTTCTTACTGAAAGTATTTCCTTAATCTTCCCCCGACCTCCCACCCTCCCACACACACACCTCATAACGCAGCCACCAAGTCTGTATAGCAGCATTCCAATTGTTTACCCTAGGATCTTAAGCCTAGTCCAAATGAAATGCCCCAAGTCCAGGTGAATCTTCTACTCCAGGGTTTTAAAAATGGACCCAATAAGGAAAATCCAATTTCTGGGCATAGAATCAAGTTTCCTTTGTTCTTTCATCTTATTCTTGGCCAGAGGGAGCAAGACCCTCCTGGTGTTTTTATTATAGTTCTAAAGAGGAAAAGAAGAAGAGATTTGAATCTTAACCCTGAAAACCCCAGCCAAGATAGAGTAGCCATATGGTGGCATCCAGACGATGGAAAAAGAAGACCAGGGCAGCCTTTCCAACCAGTACAACAAAGGCTATGCACTGTTTGCCAAACCCTCAGCCCTCCGGCTGCCTTGCTCTTCTCTTCCCTGCCCACACCCTGGTCCTTTCCCCACTACTTTCCATTCTCCCAATACTTCCCCTATGTTCTATTTCATAAAGCTCTTCTATCTATCTTTTGTTAGAGCCACAAACATTACTTTTAAGAGTAAATACAATAGAAAAATAGGAAATAACTGCTTGTAGATACAGGGGTGGTTATGCAACTAATATATCTTGTTTCAGGCAGTGGTTGTGTCAAGACCCTTGTTTTTAGTTGAACACTCTATAAAAAGAAGAATGTGTTTTATGTCTAACTGATTCTAATGCCTTTATTCTTCCTTCTTTATCACAAAGAAAATTTAAAAGAAAGGCCATGAGATTCATGTAAAAGTTGTATTGAGCTAGCTCTAGATTTCTAGCACATCCAGCATTTATACCAAAAGAGAGAAGCAACCAAAAGAGGAAAAAGAATTTACCTATATCAAGAACTCATTACATGCCAACACTTTACACATACGTGTTAATCACTTACTTTTTTTGTTTTGTTTTGTTTCGTTTTGTTTAAGACAGAGTCTCGCTGTTGTTGCCTGGGCTGGAGTGCAATGGCACAATCTTGGCTCACCTCAACCTCCGCCTCCTGAGTTCCAGCAATTTTCCTCCCTCAGCCTCTCGAGTAACTGAGATTACAGGCATGCGCCACCACACCCAGCTAATTTTTTTATTTTTAGTAGAGATGGGGTTTCACCATGTTGGCCAGGCTGGTCTCAAACTCCTGACCTCAGGTGATCCACCCGCCTTGGCCTCCCAAAGTGCTGGGATTACAGGTATGAGTCACTAAATGCAGCCATGTTAATCACTTATTTCTAACATCTCTTGGAAGAAGGTCTTATAGCCATAATAAAGATGAAGACGTTGAGATTAAATCAGTAAGTGACATTTCCAGATTGATACTCTCAGACCCATCTGACCCCCAAAGCCTCTGCTCCTTCTCCCCTATCATATGGCAAATAAAAGGTAGCTCCCATCCCCACATAAACACTTAACTCCTTTTGGAGGAATTTCTTATATAGCCATGTGCCAGCCACTCTGTGAGAGGCCACAGATACAAAGGGGATAAAATGCAGGAGGAGGGGAAACTTGTCTACATTTCCAGGCCTCAGGAAACAAGACCACTGTATACAAAAACCAGAGCACATACAATAAAATCAAATTTCAGATTTCAAAATCAAATCTTGAAAATTATTTCAAGACACACATCAGCCCTGCCAAGTGGACAGTTATGAAAATTCTGTCCAGAGAGTTGTTGAGATTTTCCTCAAACGCCAAAAGCCAGTCTGTTAAAAAATCACACCTCTGGGAAAGATCTACAATCCCTCCCTGACTCCATGTCATGTTTCCTCAGTTTACTTCCAGTCAAAATGTATTTTTTTTTCCCACTGCTCCTAGGGCTAGGGGTCAGCTCAGCTAATGAAAATCAAGCTGTCTTTTTTTCCCTGCCATCAACAATGGTCAGATAACAAAATGCAGGTTCTGATCCTGGCATGTTTATCGTTGGTGATGATGTATAAACTGATGGCCGACAGCTTCATTTTTCTCTAAGCTGGGAAGGCCCTGTTGGGAGAACTGGGAAGGAAAAAAACTTCTGATTTTGACTAGTAGTAAAACAGTTGGATAAACATGACATGACATGGATGTCAGAGTGCATAATGCAACTGCATGAACCCATATGGGACTAGAGAATCTACAGACACGGACAGAATACATGAAACTGAGATTCAGGCATGGATTTATAGCCCTCTGCATTCTTACAATATTGTGAAATGTTAGAATAGGGTTTTGACTAAATAGCAAAAGTAAAAAGGTCTTGAAAATGGAAACCGATCTTTTTAACTTTATTATTGTGCAATAAAACAAGAAAAAACTAAAAATCACTAAGTAATTTTGGGTCTAAGGGTATATGCCAAGGACATGAAGCCCTCAAGGTCATCATGGGAGGTGGGGAATTGAATTAGAAAAGAGAACTAGAGGCCAGGTGTGGTGGCTCATGCCTGTAATCCCAACTACTCGGGAGACTGAGGCAGGAGAATCACTTAAACCTGGGAGGTGGAGGTTGCTGTAAGCTGAGATCGCGCCACTGCACTCCAGCCTGGGCGACAGACCGAGACTCCATCTCAAAATATATAAATATATAAAAAATAAAAGCTAGAGCACATTTTTGACAGTGACATCTAAATTAGAACTTTAGGGTGAAGTAAAAAAGTGCACTAGATTAAGAGTGAGACAGGTTTTCATTCTAGCTCTGCCAAGAGACACTGGATGAGTTATTTATACTATTCTAGGCCTGAGTTTCCTTTCAGTGTAAATGCTCCCTCCTCACCATCACCTCTTGAGTTCTCCTTAGCTTGAATGGTTGGTTCATCCTAACAAAGAAAACCAGTGTCAGTCTTAGCTCTTGCTATTGGAGGAGTTGGGTTCCATTTTTTCCTTAATTTATTACAAAGTATTTTCTGACCAAGTTTGGAGTACAGAGTAATTTACCAGACATCACAGCCACATAGCCAAAATGTCCTTCTCTTAGGGCACTGTTTTTGCTTAACGTTTTATAAATTGCAAACAACTCTGATATCCTAATGAAAGAAAAGGAACTTATTTCAGTTTCTGAAAATGTTCATACATGCAAATTATACCTGGCATATATTAGATATAATCTCAGGAGGTTCAAGAATTCCTTGAAACTGAGGGAGTTTGTGAATCCCAGACCTTGAAGCATTAGAAAAAGGTCTAGTACCCAATCTGTTCACTGGACTTCACATATATCCAGCAAATAGCTTCCTCTTAGTCATCCATTTCAGTTACTGAATTCCTTTCCATATTCCACATAACTACTACTTAACAGGATTCCATTGTTCTAGTTGTTGCTTTGCAAACCTCTAATAAACACAAAGAATGAGAAAGACTCCTTTCCTCCTCCAGTTTTGAAGTTTTTATGTTTCTGATATCTATGGACTTTATATTCCATGAGAAAGTATACATATTATGAGAGGCATCAAATAGTCTCAAATCTACAGAAAACTACTTTCCTATGTTTCTTCACTCTCTGCTCTTTCCCAGTCCTTGTTCTTCATCCTCTGACCCAGATCCTGGTCCCCTCTGCCTTAATCTAAGTCCCATTCACCTTAATCAATGCCCATCTCACTCCATCCTGTCTTGTGCAGCGGTTCCAACCCACTGACCAGCAGCATCAGTGAAGATGGAGAGAGAAGAAGAGGAAAGAAAGAGGGTTGCAGCACCCCTGCGCAGTGGGGGGCTCTCCCTCAGGAATCTGTGAAATTGTGGCCAGTGAATCTGTTTGAGACCGATTAAATCAATGTTGCCTTGGCTCCAAGACAACGTTTATTGCTGGGAGGAACTGTCAGCTTAATTTGTGGATGAGATCAGCTGGCTCAGGGCCAGAAATACTAGCTCCCCTAGTGGAGGGTCAATACCGAAAGGGGTGATATTAATCCCCTTGCTGGATGGTTTTCCTTGTGGCTCAGGGTGCAGGATGTTCTTTCAGGGATGAAGTCTGACCCTTCAAGGCTGGTCAGATCAATAATGAGAACAGGACTTGTTAATGGAAATAAACAGGACACATGCTATGGCAGATGGGTTTCTAACTGGAATCTGAACAATTCCTCACTATCTTCAACTCAGAGCTGCCACGAACTGTCTTCAGGCATACACTTCAAGGAGTTCTTTTTAGAACCTTGTTCTTCAATGTGTGGACAGGGGGCTGCAGCTTGTTAGAAATGCAGAATCTTGGGCTCCACCCAGATCTACTGAATCAGAATCTGCATTTTGAAAAAGATCCCAGAGAAGTCGTATGCACATTGAAAGTTAAGAAACACTTTATAGAACCCAAAAAAGATGAGCCTCTTTTTTCAAAGAACTCTCTAACAACCCAGGCTAACCTATTTTCTCTTGGGGTGGATGAAAACAAATTAAATTGGTTTGTGTCAATAGTGAGAGTATGGTTTTCAGAACATATTAGGGCCCGAAAATATGCAACACATATTTGCATATTTGCAATAGTGCTTGAAGTTTCTTCTAAGCACTGGAGAACTGACAGAAGATATACGTGGATGCGTGGGTTCAGGCAGTTGTGGACCAAAGTTTGCCTCAGCCACATAAAGAAGGGGCCTAAAACCGTAGCAGACCATTCTGTGGCCCAGCACCTTCTGGCTTGAAACTCGCTGGGAGATTGTGGTTCAGTTACTTGTGATTTTCGTCTTACTCTAGGCCTTTAGAAAACGCTCCTCTAATTAGTGTCTGTGCAGTGTTTCCAGGTAATAGACAGTGATAGAGCGCTATGATAGAGCACTTTCTCTTTATTCATCACAAGGCCCATAGATTATAGCAGATCTAATAGAGAACCAAACATGATATGTTATCCATGAACTGTCACCTGTGATATATGAATTATACAGTCTTGGTGTTTTAGGGACTCGTGTGAAGTGTCAAATGAAATGAAGCCATCAAAAACTTAGCGAAGGGGTAAAAGGAAATATTAAGCACTGCCTAGTCACTGATGCAATGCTGATATATGAAGCAAACAAACAAAAATCCCCACAACTTCTCAATTGTTGAGTTACCATATCTATATTAGGAAAATACTGTAAAATATACATTCCAATTGCAAAAAGTCTTCTGAAATGTCTTAGAAATCTTTAATCTACCACATGATGTCAGCTATAAGAATCAATAGAAATTTTAATCTTCCTAGTACTTCAGAATGCTTCTCCAAGTCCTTTCACTGTTTATAGAATAGTATAGTATTTATATGAGCATCTCTAAATTCATTCCTATTTAGTCATTCAAGACAGGAATATCTTTATTTATAGTTACAGGCCAAAGGTCAGCTGGCAAAAATAAAGAGGAGACAAAAAAACTATTCAACAGACACTTGTTTTCAAAGCCACTGGTAATCTTAGGTAGAGCAACTTATAGTACAGAATAAACACGAAATACAGCAAGTTCAAACCTCAAATAAGATAACAGCACCAATCTAAACAACAGCTCCAGATTCACTGTTGAATGCTATTGGAAAAGCCAGGGCCGGTCAAATGCCAACTACTCAACTACCCATGGTTTCCACACTCCACACCTATTGGAAGACACAACAGACTCTCTGGCAGACCTGCTAAGAGCATTATGTATATGAGCAGAAACATGAAGTAGATTTGCTGCTTCTCAAGAACTGTGTCAATATATGTATTCTGAGGCCTAAACACTTTATAATCCATTCATCATTTTGTATATTGTGATGCACCAGAATGCTAAGGTTGATTTAAATACATTAGGCGCCAAGTTTCTAAGATGAGACCCAAACTCGAGTTGTTCTTCATGTTACAGGTATATCAGCGGGGCCAAGGGGGTCCCCTTTACTACTTTTCTCCTTCTTAAAATGCATTATCCTACTCAACACATGAGGTTTGTTCAGAGGAGCTTTTGAACATCTATTTTAGAGGCCTGCTCATCTCCTATCTGCTTGTTGATACACTTACATAAAATTTTCCACTGTCAAAGTTAGGGTACAGTTTAAAAACCAAAGTGTTGGCTGGGCGTGTTGGCTCACACCTGTAATCCCAGCACTTTTAGAGGCTGAGGCGGGTGGATCACCTGAGGTTGGGAGTTTGAGACCAGCCTGACCAACATGGAGAAACCTTATCTCTACTAAAAATACAAAATTAGCCGGGTGTGGTGGCACATGCCTGTAATTCCAGCTACTCGGGAGGCTGAGTCAGGAGAATTGCTTGAACCCGGGAGGCAGAGGTTGTGGTGAGCCAAGATCGCACCATTGCACTCCAGCCTGGGCAACAAGAGTGAAACTCTGTCTCAAAAAAAAAAAAAAAAAAGAAGTGTTAGCCAATATTTGTGTAAGCAATTAACACAGCTCTCACTCCAGGTCTTAAGAAGATTCTGTATTTGAAATGGACACTGTGGGACATAATGACATATATGTTGCCAGTCTTCCAGCTCTCTGAGATTCAGATGCTGAGAAGCATCATTACTCCTTGAAGCTAACTAAATAGAATATGAAAAAGAGCATGCTCCCAATGCTTGACTAAATACAAACACATATTCTAATTAATAATAATAATGTTTCCCAGTAACCTTGCTTCACCCAATATTAAGATACGTGGTAAGTTTAAAGAATTATTAAAAAGCATCTTGTACCCCTTTTACAATGAAGTATCCAAGAAGTATGTAAGGAATCCAACAGGCTACACCACTGCTAGTATTGAAGCCCAGTGGTAAGAAAAACCACTCTAAATAGTACTTGTATACTGGAAATAAACAATTTATGAAACACTCAGATCCAGTACTTGCATTTGTCCACCCTCTTGTTCTTCTTTCTGGGGAAGGTCATAGCAAACCTGGCCTTTTCCAAGCTAATCAAATGCTCTTCATTAATGATGGATACGCTAACACAGACATTTGCTCACCATTCATTGAGCAATACTCTGAATTAATCCCTTCCGTTTAGGATTTCAGATTTCTGTTATCCATGAACAAGACATCAAAATTTTGCCTTCCTGGGCTGTAGTGGTCTTAGCTTATCATGACATATCTTGAATATGATAATGTATGAACTAGTAGAAAAACCTCCAGGAAATTCTTATGTCTTGATAAGTCAGAAAATTAAAAGAAAAATGTAAAATTTGGACCCTCTAGCTTCCACATCAGAGTTGTTGAGAGTGGCCCAATTCAAGATAAGAGAGATGGCCATCTGCTGATGTCCTCCAAATACAGAGCAAAGAATTCCAGAAGAACATTAATATCTATCTTCCACAAACGCCATCAAACCTAAGATACTTCACTGGCTTGTAGAACAACATGTTCTATAGATCTGAAATCACTGGATGCTTTCTGGATTCCTAGTCATTTTCCAGCAATATTTGTTGATTGTCTGTGTCACACTGTTCCAAGTGCCAGGGTAGATAAGCGACATTGGCTTCAAAAAACAAAAAATGTGGCAAGAGAATTAGGAAGGATGAGTATTATAAAAAATTTAAAGTGAGTCAAGATGGAAGTACACAATTCACCAGCAACAAAGGGGAAGCCAAAAAAAAAAAAGCCCATGAAATATTCAGAAAATGGCAAGCTGTTCAGCTGGTCTGGGGCACATAGATAGTGTCCCAGAAGGGCAACAGAAGAGAGGAGACACAAGGTTGGAGGTGAAGGCTAAGACCTATACATGTGAGAAGGGCCAGCAAAGGTTATTTGAGCTGAGGAACAACATGATGTAAGTGTTGCTATGAATACCAGAAGGCGTGGTGTTCTAATCAGTTTTTCTTTCTTTTTGAATTTCTATCAGAGATTTGTTTCCATTGCTGCCTGCTGCATTGATTTAAAGTTGTAGAACCCAAAAGAGGTTTTGTTCGATAAGATCAATTTTTTAAAAGAATAATGAACAGTAAAAACAATAAAACTCCACAGAATTAAAAATTTTGAGCATTTTATGATAAATTATGAACAAATTATGAAACGGTGAACACCTCAGATAATATTTCTACATTTTCCCAAATGAAGAAACTGAGGGCTAAAAATGCTAAATAGCTTGCAGAGGGTGAATTTGAAAGCTGGAAGTAGAAGAGATTACAAACCAGGTCTTCTAACTGCAATTCTATAATATTTTCTACTATGCTAAGTATGGTTCATCTCTTTAATATGTCCCACATCTAACACTGGTCCTTTATAGAGCTAAGACCTCAATAACCTCAGTCGAAAACACATATGCTTGAAAAAAAAATTTGAATGAAAATTACTAAGTGAGTAGACAGTATTCATTTATATTTTTAAAACTCATAGATTGAAATTTTTGTTATTTGGTGGTTCTATTTGTCCAAAAATAATTTGGACTTTGATGATTTTGTGTGCAAAAAAAGGGCCAATCTCACCAACACATCATAAAGTAGACTGCAGGCAATAAAACATGTACTGAAGCACAGAAGTATCAGACAAGTCAGTCATTCCAAAGTGGCAGTTTGGGATGAGCAAAACCTATATAATTAAAAAAAGAGAGAGAGAGAAGAGGAGGTGTGTGCAAGGCAAGTTATTTTCTATATTTTCCAGAACAGAAAATAGGCACTGCTAGATTTGGAACTCTTTTTATTCCCACACATTAATGCAGCAAGAGTTCCTCCACTCCCAATCAAAACTTCTGCAAACCTTTCATTTGTATTGCATTTTGCCTTTAGAGACCATGGATAGATAAAGTTATTTTGGGTAATGTTCACTAGGACTGTGTGTATATCTGCTTCTGTCTAAATTATTTTGGAAGAATTACCTGGTTATAATCCAATAGACAATCTGTTCAGAATATCAGAAATGTAATACATACTGGGTCTGACGATGGTCTAGTCAGCCTGGCATTCTGCTTCTGGGACCAGGCAAGGTACCAGAAGCATTTTATGCATCAAATGCCCCTCCTTGTTCTTATCCTCATGCCTTCAGACCCCATTCCACTGACCCTTCACCACATTTAGGATGACCCCTAATCCTGACCATTTTTGGTGGTTACTTAATGTGGATCTAAAACCCATGAAATGAGTTTAAAGCTTCTTTAAATTTGTTTCAAAATATACTATAGTGGAAAGTTATATAATTTCAGCAGGTACTCTTCAAACTGTATCTCAAATCTCCTTCCTCTAAATTTCTTCTTTCAAACTTTAAGGACTTTCTCCAGGTTAGGTTCTAGAGTCTGTGGAGAAGTTAACTTTCTTTGTTTTTGGTATTTTGAGACAAATTCTCATTCTATCACCCAGGCTAGGGTGCAGTGACACTATCTCAGCTCACTTCATGCTCAGCCTCCCAGACTCAAGCAATTCTCCTCCCTCAACCTTCTGAGTAGCTGGGACCACAGGCATGTACCACCATACCCAGCTATTTTTTTGTTTTTATTTTTTGTAGAGATGGGGTCTCACTACATTGCCCAGGCTGGTCTTGAACTCCTGGGCTCAATCATTCTCTCGTTTGGCTTCCCAAAGTGCTGGAGTTACAGGTGTGAACTATCATGCCCAGCCAAAGTTTACTTTCTTGAATCTCACTATGAGATCTTACACTATTCCTCCTTCTAATCGCCTTCACTATCCCTTCTTAGTTGCAGAAGTTTAATGAATGTGATCTGAGTAGAAAACAAAAATGCAGGCAAGGTTTCTCACCTTCCACGATCATATAGCTAACAGTCATGGTATTGTTAAACCTGAGTTCTGTCTTATTTTGCCTACTTTACTAACTAAATAAGTTAATTATTTCTTGTTAAACACCAGCACCAACAACAATGAAAACCTTCAAGAGATAGACCAAGTAAAAAAGGAAAAAAAAATAGCAAGCCGGATAAAATTCAAATTGGTAGGTTCTAAAATGTATGAATGATGATAAACCTAAAAGCTATCATTTCTTGAGTCTTTGCTATGTGTCAGGCAATGTGCTAGCATTTTCCAAATATTGTTTCACAAAACACTTATAGCAACCCCATGAGCAAGTTCTTTTTTTCTTCTTTTTTTCTTTTTTTGAGACAGGGTCTCACTCTGTTACCCAGGCTGGAGTGCAGTGGCTCAATCACAGCTCACTGCAGCCTCGACCTCCTATGCTCAAGTGATCTCCCATTTCAGCCTCCCGAGAAGCTGGGACTACAGGCGTGCACCACCATGACTGGCTATTTTTGTATTTTTTGTAGAGACAGGGTTTTGCCATGTTGCCAAAGCTGGTCTCAAACTCCTGGCCTCAAGGGATCCACCTGCCTCAGCCTCCCAAATATGAGCAAGTTCTTATTACTCTTTTTTTCAGAGGAGACAAGTCTCAGCACTATTAAGTAACTGATTCAAAACATATAGCAGGTAAATGGTACATTAAGCAGTTCTGTCTGATTTCAAGGTCTGTATGCTTAACCTTTATCAACACCATGACCAGGTACTTTTAACCTTGTGCTTCAGGACACCCTAATATCTCAGTTCCACTGTTGCAGCAGAAGCCAGGATTCCACATCTAATCAATTCTGTGGATGTTACTGTTTCTGACAAAGAATTTTCATCATCATCTAGCCTTATAGGTGTATGATGGGATCATAGAAAGATCAGTTAATAATCATTTATTAGGGGGCATGACAACAATGGTCTGACAGATAAGTGGCTCAGGAAAGAAAGTGCTCAGCATTACTCATTCGCTTCTCTCACAGTAAAGGAAGTTTTAATACTAACAGTAAGCTCTAAGAAGAAAAAATCATTTTCTCCAGTTGGGAAACAGTTTTAGTATACTTAATTTATTTTTAAATGTGCATTAACTTTTTTGTTAAGAATGCTGCCTTCCTACAGTAACCAAAACAGCATGGTACTGGTACCAAAACAGAAATATAGACCAATGGAACAGAACAGAGCCCTCAGAAATAATACCACACATCTACAACTATCTGATCTGTGACAAACCTGACAAAAACAAGAAATGGGGAAAGGATTCCCTATTCAACAAATGGTGCTGGGAAAACAGGCTAGCCATATGTAGAAAGCTGAAACTGGATCCCTTCCTTACACCTTACACAAAAATTAATTCAAGTTGGATTAAAGACTTAAAAGTTAGACCTAAAACCATAAAACCCCTAGAAGAAAACCTGGGCAATAACATTCAGGACATAGGCATGGGCAAGGACTTCACGTCTAAAACACCAAAAGCAATGGCAACAAAAGCCAAAATTGACAAATGGGATCTAATTAAACTAAAGAGCTTCTGCACAGCAAAAGAAACTACCATCAGAGTGAACAGGCAACCTACAGAATAGGAGAAAATTTTTGCAATCTACTCATCTGACAAAGGGCTAATATCCACAATCTACAATTAACTCAAACAAATTTACAAGAAAAAAACAACCCCATCAAAAAGTGGGTGAAGGATATGAACAGACACTTCTCAAAAGAAGACATTTATGCAGCCAAAAGACACATGAAAAAATGCTCATCATCACTGGCCATCAGAGAAATGCAAATCAAAACCACAATGAGATACTATCTCACACCAGTCAGAATGGCGATCATTAAAAAGTCAGGAAACAACAGGTGCTGGAGAGGATGTGGAGAAATAGGAACACTTTTACACTGTTGGTGGGACTGTAAACTAGTTCAACCATTGTGGAGGACAGTGTGGCGATTCCTCAGGGATCTAGAACTAGAAATATCATTTGACCCGGCCATCCCATTACTAGGTATATACCCAAAGGATTATAAATCATGCCGCTATAAAGAAACATGCACACGTATGTTTACTGCAGCACTATTCACAAGAGCAAAGACTTGGAACCAACCCCAATGTCCAACAATGATATACTGGATAAAGAAAATGTGGCACATATACACCATGGAATACTATGCAGCCATAAAAAAGGATGAGTTCATGTCCTTTGTAGCGACATGGATGAAGCTGGAAACCATCATTCTCAGCAAACTATCGCAAGGACAAAAAACCAAACACCGCATGTTCTCACTCATAGGTGGGAATTGAACAATGAGAACCCTTGGACACAGGAAGGGGAACATCACACACCAGGGCCTGTTGTGGGGTTGGAGGAGTGGGGAGGGATAGCATTAGGAGGTATACCTAATATAAATGACGAGTTAATGGGTGCAGCACACCAACATGTATATGTATACATATGTAACAAATCTGCACGTTGTGCACATGTACCCTAGAACTTAAAGTATAATAAAAATATATATATTATATATATTATATTTATATATTATATATTATATATATTATATATTATATATATTATATATATTAATTATATATTATATATTATATATTATATAATATATTATATATTATATATATTTTATATATTATATATTTTCATATTATATATTATATATTATATTTTATATATATTATATACATTATATATTTTATATATATATTATATACATTATATATTTTTATATATTATATATTATATATATTATATATATATTTTATATATATATATATAAAAGAATGCTGCCTTCTTAATTGGATACTATGGTCTCCTCGGAGCTTTCCTGTGGCCTACCCAGAAGAATCGCAGATTCCTGTGAAGCAGATCCTGAATGCTAAGAATCAAACAGCCTTGCAAACCTCAACAGAGATGCCAAGGATTCATGCCTAAGCCAGAAGTGGTAAGTCTATCCCAAACTAGCCATTTGAAAGTATATGGAACTTACACGATTTTTCTCAGCAAATGCAGTATCGCACTTTCAGTTCTTTCAGTGGGTCTGATATAATAGGTATTAGTTATTACTCCTGCCGAGGTGCGTCTCCGCACTGCCCAGTACAACATTATCTTCCTTATTATCTGCTCTCTACAACATTATCTGTCTGCCTCAATCATCCCATCCACAAAATGGGGTTAATAATATTAGCCCTCATTTATCTTGAACAAATACAGCTGGGGAAAATGAGAATATAAATTAAATTGCTTGCTGCTCCTTGGAAGAAAGTTGCCTTAGAAACACAGGCTTATTATTTCTTCATAGAAAAAGCTAAATATATTAGGGTTTGCACAATGTTGCTAGCTGTGATTTTGCTCTTTTTTAACCCTAGGCAGAAGGACTACATTAATTCCAGTCCCTAGGTGAACCTTTTATTCCATTTTCCACTGGAGGAAAAAAAGTAACTTTGCAAAGAAAAGAAAGAAAAAAAATGTAGTATTCCCAAACCTCATTTACGGAACATTCTGTTCTCCAAATTACAGCACAGCAAGCAGGCAAGTGGGAACTTTTAGAATCCTGCATCCAAGCCGCTTCCACACAGCACCCACTAATACAAAATGGCTTTAATTACTTTAATATAAATCCTGGAAATGTGCAGATGGATTGTAATAATTATGCAAAACTGCGATGGTCCTTTATAGAAACACAGATCTTGCTAGCTTAAAAGAGAATGAAAGGAACACAAGTTCAACACAATATGTCAGGAAGCATATCTCCTAAGAAGTCCTGTATTTCAAATGCCAAGCTGTACGTTTCATCTGATGTGGCAGTTGTTATGGAAACTATGCTTTTTGATTGAATAGCAGAATAAATACCTACCTAAAATCAGCATGATGGTCTAGTGCATAAATTAAGAACTCCCCAAGACAACAATTACTTGGAGTTCTTCCTTGAGATAAATTAAAAAAAACACATACATACATATATATATATATATATATATATATATGCAATCTAATATGAGTTTAAATTTTTCTGAACTGAATATTCTTCCTCACCTAGAACAGTCAAACCTGCTTCACAGTGTGTATGAGTGTGACTATGTTTTCGTCCCTCAAACACACTCACTTGCACCCTTACACACTTAAGGCTTAGTGAATGAAAAGACCTAATGCTTTGCCAAAAAGACCATTTTTTTAAATAAAAGTCACATTTCTTCACTTTCTTCCTAAATTAGTATAGGAGGAGCCTTGGGAAATGAATGGTCGGTTATTACTGTGATTTTTAAATCAAGTGGGTCATATATAAATGTGGCGCAAAATTCCTAGGCATAAGAGAAAGGTCAGTTAAACATGGTTTTTATGTTTTCATGAGTCTGACATTAGACTGTTGCTGATGCCTATTGATATTAACAACCTTTCATAAATCATAATACAAATACTTCTATCTTTCCATGTAGATATAATTTGCCGATTTGCTGACTTAATTAAAGGCTCATTGCATAAAATATGAAATAAAACATATTGAGGTTTTCCTCTTTCACATTTTACATGGAATGATATGCCAAGGAAAAAGTGTAAATGCAACAGGCAACCATATCACAAACTTCTCCATAATGGGCATGCATTCGCCCATTGGATCAACATCTTTCAATTTATTAGCATGACAAAGGACACAATTATTTTGGATATGCCTCAATGCAATTTTCATTAACTTTGCAATGATTTATTAACAAAAGTGTCAGGAATGTAATAAAAGCAGCAGGACTCCTCAAAATGCCAAAATAAAAAAAAAAATGAAGAATACAGCAGAATTTCCCAACACGCCTTACGGCATCAGGTCAATAAGGTTGCCTGATTCCATCAAAAGCATCACCATGGTGAGTGAACTCTGCAATTAACAAAGAGTAAGCACAAAAAATGCTAATATCTCATTTGAATGTAATTATGCATAGATTACTGTTCACTGGAACAAGAAAAGGGATTTTAATTGTCATCCAAAGTTACATGCAAACCCTGGATTCTAGTTAACTTTTTTTTTTTTTTTTTGGTTGGGGAGTTCATATGAGAATAAAGCATGCAGTTCACAAATTCTTATGTTCAGGGACATTGTAAAAGGCATTGTCTTTGTTTAAGGGATACAACTTGCAAAGTTTTAAAATAACATCATTCCATGTGTGTTGGCAAGGTTAGTTTGTAATAAGTTTCACCATCGTTTGCATTTTAATACTATTTGATCTCATTTACATGTTTAAATTTGTTCCTGTAATAAAATTCATTAGTATGTTTATCATAACCACATAATGAATATAGCCCTTATGTAAAATAAAAAATTGAAAGTACATTAGAGACATTACAAGCTGTTTGAAATTACTGTGCTTTGCATATTATACCTTATTAATTAAATTATAAATTATTTATTTATGTATTTCTTTAATCAGGGGCAAGCACTAGAACAATATTATATTAGTATAAAAAACACAATACAACGCAAAGCTAAATCACACATGGACCAGTTTTATGTACAGAGGCATGCAGATCCATTTTGCCATGGGGTGGCAAATGCCACTCCCCCTGCTGTGCATCAAGGGATGCAAAATAGCTGTTTAAAGGGGAGTGGAGAGCAGAGGGAATAAATGTTTCTTGTGCAAGTTAAAAACTTCACTTGTTAGTATAATATCTCCCTTTGCCTTCTTCTTTTATTAGTATAATTAGATCAGATATGCAGATGGAAGCAAAGAGCAAATCATTATAGGAGTTAATACCATGTCCATTTTATTTGGAGTCCATGAGAAAGGAAAAAGTAATCTTTTCCATTATTTCCTTTTTTCTTTTTGTTTCTTTTGTCAGCAGTGATAGAGAACATAAGTCAGAGAGAAAGAGAAGAAAAGAGAAGAAAAAAATCAATTGGAAAAAGAGCCCAATATTTAGGAAAACAGCACTAACTTCATTTTTCTTAATTATCTTTTAAGGTAATTAGTTAAAAATAAGCAGAATATCTGTGATCTTTTTCTATGTTTATAGGACTTCCCAATCTGTTTTTCAGCTGTTTTTCTAATCCCTGGTTTGAGTACACTGGTTTGACTACAGGCTCAGCCTGTCTATACTTAGTAGATTTGATGGTTTTGGTAACCAATTACTTCAGTCTACATTGTCAAATACGGACTTTGCATAGGGCCTTAAACCACTGAAGAAACCTGGAGATGGAGGGTGGGGAGGAGAGGATCATTCAATGAACACCCTTGTTGTGGCAAGTGCACAGGTTTTATAGCCAAAGAGATCTGTATTTTAGTCAAAGCAGTTTCCTCTCCTTCCACATAAGGGATAATCCCCAAATCACAGAGTTGTGAAGTTGTTTTGAGGAGTAAATAAGATAAATATTTGTAAAGGGCTTACCAGGGTACCTACATAGTAGCTGTTCAATCAATTTTAATTCCAGGTCTATTTTCACTAAGGAACACAATAGAACTTTATACCAGAATGTCCTTCTCAGAATTCCACAAGGCTGCATGGTACGCTGGAGCTTATTTTTAATAGATGTCAGCCTGTGATACAGGGAAACACAAGCTAAATACAGTAAGTCCTCACATAACTTTATGGATAGGTTCTTGGAAACATCAACTTCAAGTAAAATGATATATAATGAAACCAACTTTACCACAGGCTAATTGATAAAAAACAAGAGTTAAGTTCCTACAGCATATTTCTGGTCACAAAACATCAGCTAACTTCTAAATAAATCCCCAAAACACTTCTAATATTAAACATGGAAAGAAATGTGAGTTCTACAAACATTTAAGAAAAAATAAAAACAAGTAAGATAATGATTTATCTGCTTATTCCAGTTCAGAGTCACAGATGGCCAGGGCCCATCACAGCAGCTCAGGGGGCGTGGCAGGAACCAGCACTGGCCAGGATGCCATCCCACGGCAGGGCGCACTCACATACACACCCACACTCGCTCACATCAGGACCACTTAGACACATCCATTCTCCACATGTGCACAGCTTTCAGATGTGGAGGAAACAAGCACCTGGAGAAAACCCTCACAGGCAAGGGGAGAACATGCAACTCCACACAGACAGTGGTCCCGGATAGGAATCCATTTTTTTTTTTCTCATCAACATTATAACGAAATAATGTTGAACAAAATGTTATTCAAGGACCTGCTGTACTGAGATTAATCTTCAAAGCAAATGTTAAGAGACCAATATATGTTATATTTTCCTAAATAAAAATAATTTTATTTTCTTTGTTTTAGGTTAGTGTGCAATTCCTTCCCATTTCACAGTTTATATAATTTGGTAAATAGCAGAAGAGAACAGAGGTGGAGGAAGCAGTATCATTAAGAGAAAATAGCAGAATGGGGAGAGGTCCACCACTGTGTTTCTGGTTTCTAATTTAATAGGGTCTGTGGCAGATTGCTAAGACTCAGACATATCTGTATTCACCTCTTTTTGGCACCCAACTAAACCACCTTTCTGGGCTACTCCTGCCGTTAGATAGAGCCACATAGCTGAATTCTAGCCAAGCAGATAGGTATCTGCATATACAGAAATGAAAGGTGCTATTTCTAGGCCTGGCATCTAAAAACTCTTACCAGTCCACCATGCTATTTCCTTGTTGTCTATCCTCACTGTCAGGATAGAAAGGATCCCGCCAAGAACACTGAGTCTTCGGGAGACAGGGTGGGATAGACCACTGGGTGGAAAGAATGTGGGTCCCTAAATGACAGAGAAGGGAAGCACCCCTCCCCGCATTCTATTATAATTGGACTACATCAAGGAGTAACAAAACTTTGCCATGTTGTGTTATCCCGTGGTGAATTTAGACTTTTTGTTACAACCATCAGGCTATCCTGACTAGAATGAGGTCATAAGGCAAGGTGAGCAGTTTTAGTTTTTCTGAGAAGCTTCCTTTGATTAGAAATAGAATTCTAGATATAATTAATTTGATTTGTATCAGAAAAGAAGATGCCCTAAAATCACTTTTAAAGTTTTAAATAAAAATTGACAAAGATAATATAATCCCACTATCTAATGTAATATATAACCTTACACTATTTTGTTAAAAGAATCTGATTCTTTTAACAAAGGAGTTTCTTCTAGGACCATAAGTGTTTTATAAAGTAATAAATGATTACTATGCATGACTATATATTGTGTTTTCAAGCAGCACTCTCTACGTAACTACAGGACAGGAAAATTAACACTTGTAGAATAAATAAACCAATACATATAGATGTTCATTAAAGAGAAATTAGTTTCACTCAACAAAAGGTTTCATCAAAAACATGATTCCAATCAGTGTGCTCTGTTTTCCTGAGGGCAAATTTCCAGGCTAAATGCTTCATTAGCAAATAATCATGACACCCTGAGCTTTGTGCTCCTTCTGAACTGGGGAAATGTGAGTGGGCCACATGTAAAGGATGGATATAGAGACATGCTGAACACAAAAGCTCTGAAATCAATAAGTAAAATGAAAACATATGCATGCTACAAACCCACTCACATGGGCCAACATGGATGCCACATGGGAAAACAATGTCAACAGAGAGAAGCAAAACTGAATATTATTACATTTCTAATAATTCAATAGGTAAAGAATCTCCAGATGGTCTAATATTCTATCATTCGCTATGCTGATCAACACATTTTAAAAAATCTTAAAATATCGCTTGCACCTGTCAATATTAGACTTTTTTTGTAAACTGTGTGCATTTTTTTCAGTGTTTATTTAAGCATCTAAATAGCCTGTTGGTTATGAGCCTATTAGCATGAGGTTAAATGTTCTTCAAGGGCAAAGAGCTAAAGGTCCATCAAGTTTGCTTAACTTGCTTACATAATAGCACCCTGCAATCCAGATGGTCTATTAATAAACACTTGTGAAGACAAGAATTACGGTATACTCATGAGGACAGAAAATATAAGATATGGCTTAGTTCAAGTGAAGGTATGCTCCGAAACTATTTTAAATCAAGAAACAGAGACTACAGCCAATAGATACAGAATGACAAGTCTTTAGAAGAAATGAAGTAAACACATAATCACATGGTAATATGGTTTGACTGTGTCCCCACCCAAATATCATCTTGAATTGTAGCTCTCATAATTTCCACAGGACCCAGTGGGAGGTATTTGAATCATAGGGGCAAGTTTTTCCCATGCTGTTCATGTGATAGTGAATAAGTCTCATGAGATCTGAAGGTTTTATAAAGGGCAGATCCCCTGCTCAAGCTCTTGCCTGCCACCATGTAAGATGTGCCCTTGCTCCTCCTTCACCTTTAGCCATGATTGTAAGGCCTCCCCAGCCACGTGGAACTACGAGTTCATTAAACCTTTTTTTCCTTATAAATTACCCAGTCTCGGGTATGTCTTTTTTAGCAGCGTGAGAACAGACTAACACACATGCACGTAACAAATAATTTACTATCTGGACCCTACTTATATCTAGCTATCTATAAAAAAATGGCATGAGACTGTCAGTCAGAAGGTGAAAGAAAAAGAGAAAAGTAGGACAACTCGTGTTTGTTAAACACCTACTGTGTAACAAGTGCTCTCCTTCCCACATCGCCCTGGAAACATATCTTTTCAAAGCCTGTAATCCCAGCACTTTGGGAGGCCAAGGCGAGGCTAATTACTTGAGGTCAGGAGTTCCAGACCAGCCTGGCCAACATGGTAAAACCCTGTCACTACTAAAAACACAAAAATTAGTCGGGTGTGATGGCAGGCACCTGAAATCCCAGCTACTCGGGAGCCTGAGGCACGAGAATCACTTGAACCCGGGATGAGGAGGTTGCAGTGAGCTGAGATCATGCAACTGCACTCCAGCCTGGGTGATAGAGCAAGACTCAGTCTCAAAAAAAAAAAAAGGTATCAGTGACTTCTCACGGTTTTCCATATTCAGCCTGCACCTCTCCACTGAGCCCCAAACCAACACATTTGCTGAACTTCTAGCTCATAGCTTCACTGGAATATCCTATAGGCTTCTCAAATTTTAACACAGGTTAACTCAACTTGGATCTTCCTGCCTCCCCACACCTGTTTCTGCCACAGATTGAATAATAACTCCTTTTTTCCAGTTTCTCGGGCCAAAAAAAATCTAAGTCCTTGACTCATCTCTTTTCTCACACTCCACATCCAATCCAACAGCAAATCCTGCAGAATCTGACTACTTCTCACACCTCCGCTGACACCAAACTGCAGAGGGAGTTCCCCTTTTGAAAACAGAATTAGATCTTGTTATTCTCTTACTCAAAACCTCCAACAGGTTTCCATCATTTTAAGATAAAAACCAGAGTCCTTAAAATAACCCACAAGGTCCAGCATGATCTGGCCTCACAGGCAGCTCCCTGACTTTTTCTTCCTCTGGTCTCCTACCCACTTATTCCACTTTGGCCATCCAGGCCTTTGTGCATTTCCTCACATATGCCAAGCACACCTCTGCCTCGGGCCCCTTGCACTTGCTGTTTCCCTGCCTTGAACACTCTTCCCAGTGAGACTTTTGTTCAAATGCTATCTTTTCTGATGACCTTACTTAAAACTACCATCTCTCCACCTGGCACCTTAGCATCCCCTATTCCCCTTTTTTTTTTTTGGCTTTTTTCCGTAGCATATATTACATTTGCTATTTGCTTATTTTCTCTCATCTCTTATTAGAATGCAAGCTATATGAGAAATATTTTTCTATTTTGTTTTCTGCTATATTTCCAGAGACAAGAAATCAAAAAATATGTGTTAATATTCATGCTTGGGAGGATTATATTATTTTACTTAATTCAAATGGACACTTGGAGTTAGTAATTATCTCACTTAATAGTTAAAAAAGCTTAGGCTCAGAAACAATAAATAATTGTCCAGGTAGCAAAGGTAGGAAGAGGCAGATGGATGTCTCCATCAAGGTCTGTTTGATATCTTTGCTATCTTTTGGGACACCTTGTTTCTGTCATACCACCAACCTTTACATAAAACATACTACACCTTATTTACTTAAAGCCTTCTTGGGCTCTAAAGTCTGAGATGAGTCAAGTATTTTGTTATTGTTTTGTTTTTTTATCTTTCCCTAATCCATTTCATCGGGTTTGGGGTCGTATTCAAATTTTTAAAATGATTGTATCTAAAAATTGAAATAACGTTACATCAAATTTTTCCTAAAGTATTTCCTTCAAAGTTTACATATTAACTAACCAGAAACAGATTCATGGATATGAACCAACTTCCCAGGGTATATCTGAAATTTATAAAACATTTCCTTTGGTTTCATGCTATAAGAAAAAAAAAAAGTTTGAAAAATAAGTTTCATGGGCTGATCATAATTTGGAATTTTTTCTAATCTTCCTGTACTGATATAATTGATTTTTCATTTAACAAATGCATAAAAGAAAAAAGAAAGAGGTTTTATTGAATATTGACAATTAAAAAATTAAAAATAATAAAAAAGCAAAGGAGAAAGAAGGGAGGAGAGTTGAGTGTAGGAACAGGGAAGTAGGAAAAGGAGAAGAAGGAAAAGAAGAATTAAAATGAGGAGAGAAAGAGAGGCAGGGAGGAAGAGAGACAGGAAAAGATGAGGGCCAAGAATGTTCTACTTTACAAATGGGTAATAATTATTCTTATTCACATTGGCTTCCTGAAACATAGAGAAAATTTAAAGAGTTTTCCAAGTAGATTTGGGAAACTTTATAGACTATAATTCAATTCTGAGAGCAATTTACAGTTGAGACTATATGCAGAAGCGAATCCAAAAGCCAAGACTTCATGCCCAGAGAAATGAAATAAACTGTTTCATTGATCTAACTTAGTTTTCCAGATAAAACACAGACACACATTCGGCAGACATTTATGTTAAACCACCTTGATTACTGGGAATTTCCGCAGTTTCTTATGATTCTCAAATTGGCATCCCTTATCATTAACTTATTGGGTATTATTCTGTGGATTCACCCTGTTAAATTTAGAGATGAAAATTAATTTCTTAAGCCTAGACGTTTACAAAAAATTAAAGGTAATTTTTCCTATAAAAAAGATGCAGAAATAATATACCTGCTGCTAACTTCTAAATATTAAGTTTAATATATGGAAAAAGCCTGCTGCAATGAGTATGTGTAAGTCAGGAGGGTGACTTTGAAGCCACACATATTCCTCTTACAAAAGCCAGTTGCTTCTAAAGGGATCAAACATAGATGTTAAAGCTTAACACATAATAAAAACCAACATCTTAGCAAAGTTTCACATCAAAATAACAACTGCTGTTATAACTTCTACAATTTGAGAGTGATTTTTCAATTCTCAAAAAGAGCTAGGTGAGAAGATACCAATTCTGATTCATCTCATTTGCCTCCTAATCATTTTGCATCCTTGCTGCATAAAGTGTAGAATATGGACCAGCCACGCCAGCTTCCCTCGGGAGCTTCTGAGAAATGCAGAATCTTGGAGCCACCCCAGACCTGCTGAACCAGACTCTGCATTTTATCAGGGTCCCCAAGAGATTCACATGCACGTTAGTCTGAGAAGCATTATACACACTACGGTGCAAAGTATTTTTGTTTAAACAAGTTATAAAAATTAAAGTACTAATTGGACTAACAAAAAAAAACCAAAAATAGGGCACAGTTATAGATATTGCAGAACTGATCTATTTGGAAAGAGACTATTCAACTTGGGGTCTCTCATTTCATTTAGGGAAGAAATGCAAATGGAAACCTATATGAAGCAGGTATGGCAACTAGAACATTGACTCAACTAGTCTGAAAGCAGTGTTTTTGAGCTCTGCCAAGAGGACTGCCATTATCACCTCAACAGAAATAATTTCATTCTCAAGTCTAACATTTAAATGATATAAGATTCCAATTTAATTAGGACAACAATGTGAAGCCAGCTCAAATAAAAAGCAAGAACAGTTTTCTAATGGATTTAAATTGGGAGCTTGTGACAGACTATGACAGATGACATATTTACTTTTCGTGGGAGCTAAACGAATACCTCAGATAAAATGTGAACTAAAAACACAGCAAATTTGGAATTAATTAATCCATTGACAACATTTTTTTTGAAAAACACTTTCTCTTATAAAGAAAAATAGATCTGTAAAGCCGAACAGTTAGTTAAAATTGTAACATTTAATACATTATTGGAGCTTAGTAACAAGTTGGGAATTTCACCTTTCTTCAGAAATTGAAGATGCTCTAATCAGAATTAGCCAGGTGTACACAGAGGTCAAACATCATGCTAAAGTTTCACTAAATAGCTTCTATCTGGCCTCTGATCACAAATGCTTCAGATCCCAGGCTTTGACATCTCAATGACTTCAGTATTATGGCTAGGCAGCTGCCACTTACTTCATTTTCAATGTATCCAGCTTTTGCATGCCTCGACTAGGGGCCTTTTGGCAAAATGTTTAATCAAGTCATCATCTAGCATTTTTGTCTTCCTTATCATGGCCTTCGTTTCCTTAAGAAATAGAAAATTCAAATATGACTGTAGAAACTGAGTGGAAAATGAGAATGTAAGTGTACACATGCTTGAAGACATCACGGTGAACTAATGACTAATTACTGTGCAATTGAATACTAATGGAGAGATTCATGAAATCAACATGAACAGGAAATGAACTCAATATGACCAATGGTTCTACAATTAAAATCAAATAAATGCGTAGTAATAGAAAGAACTTAAAAGATATTACTACAACCAGATAATTATTCTTCAGGTTACACTATACTAAAAAATAAACACAATGCTAGGTAGAGGTATCTAGCTTGATATCTTTTGAAAAGTTAATGTGCATCTGAAATGTGAATTATAGTATTGTAATTATCTTCAAATTAAAGTACATAAAACTAGTTCAATAGCAAGTCACTTATTAAAGCAAATCAGATCAACATGAATTTCAGGAAGGAAACTTGAGAGGTTACTTTCTAGGACCGTTTAATTAATTAATTGTCGCTCTGAATATTTAACTCTTTGAGTCTTAGCAGTCCAGTCAGAAAATTTTCAATAGAAAGCAAGTTTAGGGATTGAGAAGAAACACCAAACAAACAGACACATTTTAAAAGCATTAACCTTTAATGCATAAAGAGCTAGTAGCAATGTATAAGGATTGATTAATAAATTTTACAACCACTTTTTTAAAAAATTGCACGTACGTTTCCTTTAGTTCTATTTCATTTACTTTCTTTTCCACAACCCAATGGGCTGAGTAAGGCAGATTGAAATAAACTGCAATATTTTCTCTTGAAATATCTACTCACTTATCAGCTGTGGATCTAATCAAGGACCTAATAAGTCCATAATGGTACATTTGCTTCCCAGGAGAAACCACTGTTTCTCGTCATTCCAGAAAACACCCCCTTGCAAGGTGCAACCAAGAGCCACAGATTCACTGTAACAGTCTAATAATTTGATTGGGAGCCCTAAGGCAGGGATAACTTAAATTACAATTAGAGAGCCCTCACACTGGTGCTAACATCTGTGTACTGAACCACTGTATACTGATTAAAGGTTTTTAAAAGAGAACTAAGTACTTTCCACATTAGAGATGAGTCTAATTCTAATGTCCCTCGTCCTTGGTATGTAATACTTCAACATTCCCTGCTGAGCTTCCTGCTTGTGAGTCCAAAGTATGCACATCCTGGATAATAACTGTCTTGGAAATGTCCAATAAATTGCTCAGGTGTAAATGGGTGGAAGGGCAGAGCCCTGGGAAGAGAAAGAAAGCACTGTTCATTTCATCACTCTTCCTGTGCCTATTTTCCCCGAGTTTGTAGCTGCATAGTTGAGGTGTTTTTGTTTTTGTTTTTCCATTAAAAGAGTGATTCGGCCGGGCGCGGTGGCTCACGCCTGTAATCCCAGCACTTTGGGAGGCCGAGACGGGCGGATCACGAGGTCAGGAGATCGAGACCATCCTGGCTAACACGGTGAAACCCCGTCTCTACTAAAAAAATACAAAAATTTAGCCGGGCATGGTGGCGCGCGCCTGTAGTTCCAGCTACACGGGAGGCTGAGGCAGGAGAATGGCGTGAACCCGGGAGGCGGAGCTTGCAGTGAGTCGAGATCGCGCCACTGCACTCCAGCCTGGGCGACAGAGCGAAACTCCGTCTCAAAAAAAAAAAAAAAAAAAAAAAAAAAGAGTGATTCTAAGTAGAGGGTCAGAACTCAGAGAAATTGCCATGGGGGCACCAATTAATGAAAGTTAAAATGAACGAGGACACACACACTGCATCCCTCAGTGTCCTCCCTGCCTTGTTATTAAATGAATCGTGCATGCAAGGAGAACAGAGTTAGAAGAAAGCAAAGCCAGGAGCTCTCCCCCCATGCCCTAACCACTTCTTTCCTTCCCCCTCCACTCATTAGGGCCTTTTTCAAGCACATGGCTGCTGCAGATGTCCCTGAGAGAACATTTTGTTTCCCCCCTGCATCCAGGCTCAAACACCTGGGCTCTGACATGACGTCCAGTGGAGGCTATTTTCTTTCTCCTTTTTTAAACTTTCCTTTTATTTGGTTTGCATACAAGGCTAATAATGAGGTTTAAAAAACTATACACAATCAGTATACAATTACACTCATCGGGAGCCTGACATGTAATTTCTGATAAACCCATATAACTATGAACAGCAAAAGGAACCACAGAGCGCACACAATGTGTGGGGTCATCAGAACACAATGCCAACACAATCTCTGCGTCATGTCTTGTTGCATAGTATTAATCAGTGCAAACATTGTTTGGGAAATGAGAGGGGAGAGAAAGAGCAGTTTCCCAGCTGCTAGTGCTTTGCCATCAAATCTGATAGTCAGTTCCATGGAATATAAGAAACTTCAGTAATAAAGCTTAGGACCAAATAATGACTCTTGAAGACAGACTACTTAAATTATTCAAAATGAAATCAAATAATAACTCCTTATATATAATCCCAACTCTCCTGATAATTTCACATCAGACATTTCTTTAGCAACTTGTGTATTTTCATAAATTTAGAAAACGTATTTGCATCTTTAACAGGCCACAATTGGCGGGTACTGAACATCCACATTATCCAAATGATCAGTGTTACTGGTTAGTTAATTGCTACAATTTTGATTTATTTCAAATTTTTTATTTCTATATGTTGAAACATAATTATTTTTCTGTTGATTGTTATAGGTAAAGGACACAATAAGGTTTCATTAAGAAAGAATTATCCAGGACCACAAGATGACAGGCTGGGTCACTAGGGAGCACAATGCAATACTATTGTCAATACTATCGATATGTCTTAGGAAAAGTCAGTCTGGGAAATGCAGAAATGTCACAAGCTTTGTTTTACCTTCATTTTAATAGAGCATAGCATGACCTATATGGGAGGGGTTGACTACTTCAATTAGGTTTATGCTATTTTCAATAGGACTTCCAATCAGTGCATTTAGCTGGAAAGCAATTCCTGGCTTTATTATTACTGTTGTCATCCTTAAAATGCATTCTATTTATTTTTTTAATTTACCAGGAGGGGCAAAGGGAAGATGGGAGCAATAAAGAAAAAGGAGCCAGTAACATGCCCTCAGGGACCAATAGCAAAAGGAGAAGAATCATAGGGGAAGAGAGATAGGAGATGAAAATGAAAGACGTATCTTATTAAACCATCATAATTAAGAAGTAATAGGTATTCATAAAGAGACCCATGCCCAAAGGCCTGAAGATGTCTACAGTAGCAAGGGCCAATGTTTTCTAATAAGTAATAATTAACAAATAATCCACAATAAAAAGCAAATGGGACCCCACAAGAATGAGAAGGCAGAAATCTGCCTTCTTACAATTCCCCCCCGCCCTTCATAGTTTAGTGTGAACAGACCTAAACTGAAACACTAAAGAAAAGGAAAATTGGTGACCTCTTTTCAACAACAAGTAAATTCTGACACACACAGAAGTAAAAAGCATTTGATAACAGAGCACCTCATTCTCATCACCTGTAGCTTAAATACGGGATGGTGCCAGCTCTGAACCCTGAGATTACAAAGGCTGCCAGAGATCCAAGGGAATCGGGGCCTGATGATGAAACTGACCCCACATTATTTATTTCGGCACAAGACAGGAATTAATTGGATGGATTTTCCCTTAGCTCCTGCACTTTTTAAGTTAGCTGGACCTAAGACAAGGCTGAAGGGAAGGAGGAATACATTTGGTCCTTGGACACCCCCTAGTGTCTGTACTAGCACAAAAACCACTCGCAGGTATATCCCTTCCTTTCCTGCTATCCGGAACATGAGGGCCAAGATTGGCTCCTCAAGGCGGAAGTCCCAAGACTGCAGCCTCGACGGAAATCTACTTTCCCCTCAGGTCAGGAGGCCAAGTGTCAGACTCCTAACCCCTTTTGGATACTTTCTAGAATTTCTGTTTGCCAGTAACTTCGTGTCAATGTGTTGTAGTTTGTCTCAAGAAAATGTGAAAAATTATAGGTGGAGCCAGGAGGGGCCTATAATTTGCTTCAAGAAAAGAAAAAACAAAAAACCAGATGAATTTCAGTCAATACACTAGATGCAAAATGAAAAAGGGAAATGGAAGAAAAATCTGTTTCGGAGAATATATGGTAGTTTGTCTTCTATAGATAACTTGTGAGTGTTTGAATAAGCATTGTGATGTATTTATGTTTACCCATGTGATTGGATGTGAATACTGAATAAAGTCTGGGAAGACTGCTTGCCACTTCTCTCAGTCAGCGGTTCTTTGAGCAATATTCCATTTGTGTAATGAAGATATAATTTAAAAGTGGCTTAGAAAAGCTTTAGTGTAAGCGCCTTTGAAAGTTCCCATACAAATTATATGTGACTTCCTTTCCATCTAGGTAAATAAATTGTGTGTGTGCATAGGTGTGTGTCCCAGGATATCTGTGGACTAGGCTTCTGTGTTAAAATATTACTAAAATTATGAAGTATTACAATGAGTTTTATCCACTGTCATCTCAAAAGTATAAATGTCTCAGAATGTCATTACTATGTTTGGCTGTTGTAATTACCCAAATCTGCCCCAATACTGACCACAGTTCTAAGGAAACCATCATATATAGTTTTTTGTAGCATAACGCTTTTGCTCAACTGTTTTCAGGAAGCGGTCCATCATTCTATTAAATTTTGCAGCATATATTATGGCAATATAAACTACTTTTTCTTGCTGCATCTGAGAGGGTTGTACTGGAATTTATGCAAGGTCTGACCTTCACAGAATCATACAACTTTAGAGGCCAAGGGTCCTGAGAGACCACCTAATTCACATTCTTATTTAAGGAATGCATTGTTCAAAGTGATTTCATGACTTCCTCAGAGCCATGTGGCCAAGCTGCCAAAGAAGTTCTGCACCCAGCCCGTTTTGGGTCACTGATGTTTCTAAGCATAAAATTCTTTAAGAGGAGCCTGATAGACATGAATATGTCATCTGTGGCTAGACATGGGAAGCCTGACTGTAATATGGGCACCCTCCAAGTTAGGGACACATCTTCTGAAAGGAGAGGGTGTCCCAGGCAGCTCCTACAGTCCCCGGGAAAAGTGTGACTGTGGACCCAAGGGCTCTTCTGTCGTTGATTTTTCATCCATGACTCATACATGAGGCTTACACTGTAGAAAGAGAGGAAAGAAACTACAGAAGAAATGTCAGAAGCATCTTGCACACACACACCCTCCCCGCCCCGCCCCACCACCACCACCACCGCACCCCAAGTGTGTGAATGAAACTGTTTTGTTCCTTCCTCGGCAGGAAATGCTACTGTTTTAAATACCAAACAAAGATAGTGCTTGCTTCTGGTTACAGCCCACACAAAATAAACTTACTTTTAAAAAGAAATCTTGGCATATGGTAACAAAACCTATATAATTCTCTTGATCTTTAATCTCTATGCCAATGTCTGTTTTACAGATTATGGCCTCAGCCCCTGACAAATCTGCTTAGTGAATTTTTGGCTGACAAATCTGGCAACACAAACGCTGTCTGAAATACATTCAAAAGGCTAAACATTTTCATAATAGCTACTTTACATAGCCTAGTAGGTTTCCCTTTAGGACACTAATTAGTTTTTTTTTAAAGTGACAGTGTTAATTTTTATGATTACACACAGAACTGAGATTTTTATTTAATACACTAGGCCTTTTTTTAATGCTTTTCAAGGGGATCAACCACTTTGCCAACAGACGGGTGTTACAGCAGGGGTGATTATAGTAATTTTTCATGTAATTGGGAGTCACCATTTGGTTGCTATCTTTCACATGCTTGTTGACTCATCATATAATCCTTTATAATGGGGGTTTGTTTTATGTCACAGGAACGTGCCAAGCAGCCGGGAAATAACAAACAGAGGAACCCCCCAGCTGGTGGGGACCACAAGGGTTTTTAACATCTGCCCGGTTCTTTAGACTGCACAAAATTTTTATTTAATAGCAGTGACCAAACACTGAGAGAAGGGTTTTGGAGGATTTGGGAAGAATCTGTGTTTTCTCTCAAGAGAAGATGTCTTTTAAAAACAGACTCTATTACATACTGCAGAGAGCACAGTTTTTAAAAGATAAGAAGGTGTAAGCAGTCATTAGAAATATCAGAGTCCCTTTGCCCCTTCCCCTACAGTCAAGAATTTAAGCCAAAAACAAATGCAGCATGTTGTCCCACGGGTTCACTTATCACAATTTCACTTTTCATCTTATCTTTTGAATCCCATCAGTTAGCATAGTGCTTTAATGGAACAAATATATGACCAGAGGTTGCATGCCAATATTAGATGCTGCACAGAGGTCAAAGCTGGAAATTGAGACTCCTCAGTTCTTAGCCCAGCTCTATCATCTTGGGAGAGTCCTGTGAACATAATTAGGGCTCAAATTCCCTTCACATTAAAAGCAAAGAGGAACACTACTATGATTCCTGAGTTTCCCTAAGAAAAAAGTAAAAATAAATAACAGAGTAAGTCTGAAAATATTTCTTGAGTTAAAACACTAAATACTAGGCCTTACAGTTTGACTTGAGATGATAGTTTCTATTAACACTTTGCCATCTGTGAACCAGTAAGGTTGGCAAAGCCATCTATAATGTACATTCTATCTGACGGAGTGCATATTTCCTTTGGAATTTTCCAAGAGTATTGGAACAAAGTTGCTCATTTTTATGAAAAGTATCTGATGAAAGTCTTGTTATTTGTTTATAACAGGTTCAAAGGAATGACTTATTTCAACTTATTAGGAATTGCTTTTTATTCCATTTAAGACCATGACCACTGACAGCCACGCTGTCTAAAGACAACAGCTGAAGTTAGATCAACTGGATCCAACTCTAGAATATTGACTTGATGAAGAACTTAAATTTGCTTTTTAATTTAATTATCTAAATACTATTTCATAATGGAAGCACAACATTAAATATGTCAGATTTTACTTAGTTCCTAAGATCTGAGATAAAGGTAGTTTGCCTAAATAACCATGTGATACAAACTAGCCATAATATGAATTAACCCTAAGTTATCTTCAACAAATCCTATACAGTTATATGTTATATTTTTAAATAAGTAAACATAAGATACAGTTATAAATAAAACATAAGATACAGTTATAAATAAAAGCCTAAAACACAAACCATTTATTTAACCAAGTTTAACTCTTATGACACCAAAGTGAACGCAAAATGAAATTATCCTATTATACAAATGAGTATGTGTCATGTATTTTCAGACTGCTGCTTAACCATAATTATTTCCAGCATTTAATTTCATATACTCACTGCTTTCAAAGGCCATTGGTAGTATAGATTTCTGATAGAAGCTAGCCAAATAGCAGACCATCAAAGAAGATAGTTGGTAAAATTGAAATCTATGTTTATCTAATAATTCCTTAAGAAACTAAAAATAAAGGCAGAAGCCACGAAACAATTTCCTTTATAGTAATTAAAACTGTAAATAAACAGATAACTTTATACTCTGTAGGAACCCCTAAACATTGAGGACACTTTGAGTATTCATTTCTGTCCAGTGCTATAGGAATAAATAAGTAAATTATCCATGTATACATAAAGCTTTCAGAAGCAGTATTAGAAGTTCATTTTATGAATTACAATCAACTTTTAATTTATACCACAGGGAAAAATATCCTTTTGTTAAGTTCAGTTTTACTATTTAGATTGGGAGGACATTGCAGTGATAGTGACTTTTATCCCACTCCTAATGTTCATGACTACAGAATCTACAACATACCAAATTATAAAACCAGCTTAGAGATGACATGCCATTCCTTTCCCCAACAGAGGAAAATATTTTCTCAATGGAATCATATTTAGAAATATAAATATAAATATGCAACATTCTCTTTTCTTTCACAGCTTTACCTTGTTGGGTACGCACAATTTCCTTCTGATGAACTACTTGTATCCAGCCAAATGACAATGATCAAATTATAGAGCAAAAAAATTATGTACTCTTTGTCACATTTCTTTATTACAGAGCTAACAACTTATTTAATTCCATTAATGAATGTGGTTCAGTAATAGTTTATCATTTTCCTCTTTATTTTTTAAAACTGAGAAAAAGAGGGAGGTTCACAGAGACAACAGTGTATTAGGATTGATGTATTCTCCAGTTTTCCTCTTGAGTTTAAAATCATAAACTACTCACTACTGTGAATTCTTAGGAGCAGCCTGTCAGATCCATTGTGATAATTAATATAATGGCATACTGTACATGCCACTGGTGTTAAGGCTGTTATCTTAGTGACTGTTGTAGTTTCTGACAATGCTATTTATAACATTACTATGTTGATAATGATACTAACAAACAATGTTAAACACAAACAACACAAAGTACTTTGCACTATACATACTGCAATAAAGTGAATTTCCTGGCCAGAAGTTGATAATCTAAATTGTGAATGACACCCACAGTACTTGTCTTCAGAGTATCTAAATATTGGATATAAGTGAGGCTTTGCCAAACAAGTACTGGGAAATCAGTTTTATGTAATAGCTCTTCAGATACAAATTGGAAGCTGGAGGATTTTATGAAGATTCAAAAAAGAGAAATCTTTGTTGAGATGAGACTAGTGTGAGCTGAGAAGTTAGTGAAAAGCAAAGCAAAGATTTAGACTGTTAGAATATCAAAAAAGTATATATTTTAGCAGTAACAAAGTAATAACTGAAAAGGAACTTTATTTCCCTAAACTTAGTTTCTGAGTACAAATGCAATATATTTAATTTTAGTAAGTAGACAATACAGAATACTATAAAGAAGAAAATAAAAAAGCATATGTAACACTATCAATGGGTAGATAATTTAAATTTTCAGTTATCTATTTTGTAATAGAGAAGAATCCCAATTAGATAAACACTTTAAGTACTTTTCAAACATTGCATCACAACCCATTGATGGAAGGTACATCAGTTTGGGGGTTTATGATCAGCATCCTTTATTACAATACAGTGGGAGATTGTATAGTATGATGGAAGTTTTTCATAAAACTTTTATTCATATTCGCAGGTTTACGGTCATTATGTAAAACATAATTCTAAGTGTGGGTTGCAGACAAGACACTGAAATTAACTGCTAAAAGACTTCGATTTTCATGACTTTAGTTGATTTATTTGAAAAGGAGAAAGGTGCCAGGCATGGTGGCTCAGACCTGTAATTCCAGCACTTTGGAAGGCCAAGATGAGAGGATGGCATGAACCCAGGAGTTCAAGGCCAGCCTCAGCAACATAGCAAGATGCCATCTCCACAAAAATTTAAAATATTAGCTAGGCATGGTGGCATATGCCTGTACTCCCAGCTACTTGGAAGGCTGAGGTGGGTGGATCACTTGCAGCCAGGAGGTTGAGGCAGCAGTGAGCCATGATCACAACACCGCACTCCAGCTTGGGTGACAAAGCGAGACTGTCTCAAAAATAAATAAATAAGTAAAAAAAGGAAGGAATTTCTATAGCATTCTAATAATGAGACATCTTTTGTAATAAACTTAATCTTGATAAGAAACATCTTTAAGCCAGGCATGGTGACTCAAGCCTGTAATCCCAGCACTTTGTGAGGCTGAGGTAGGCAGATCACCTGAGGTCAAGAGTTCAAGACCAGCCTGGCCAACATGGTGAAAACCTGTCTCTACTAAAAATACAAAAAATTAGCTGGGCATGGTGGCTGGCACCTGTAACCCCAGCTACTTGGGAGGCTGAGGCAGAAGAATCGCTTGAAAGCGGGAGGGGGAGTTTGCAGTGAGTCAAGATCGCGCCACTGCACTCCAGCCTGGGCAACAACAGCAAAACTCCGTCTCAAAAAAAAAAAAAAAAAAGAAATATTTTTAAAATACTGTTTTATTGTGAAACTGGTGAAGATATTAATTGCCTTTCCTTGGTTGCATTCATATATGCTGGATGTCACTGTCATTGAGCTGTTATTTACCTTAGGAGCTCACAAACTAAATATTAATCAAATAACCACACAAATATTTGTAAAGTTTCAGCTGTGATAAATTCCATGGTACTCAGAGGGCCCCAAAAGATAGTATAATCTAATTTAACATAAAAGAGAGTTCAGGGAAGACTGCCCTAGAAAAATAAGATCACTGCATTTTGAAGGATGAGTATGAAGTGAAAAGGAGAGAAGAAAACATTCCAGACAGAGAGGATAGCATATTCAAATGTCTGATCACCACAGGGGTCTCAAGGTGTACAAGGCCAAATGATATTCTACTTCAGATAGTGACCTGCTCTCAAGGAGATTATTACAGATCCTCAGTGACCAGTGGGGAGAGACACTGTCTTTCCTCGATGACAACAAAAAAGGAGCCCAACTCCTTACAAAAGCTTCTCTGCTTGAAATATAAACATGGTGGGTGTTTTAGTTTGTTTTTTATTGCTATCATAGAATACCACAGGCTGGGTAAATTATTTTTAAAAACGGAAATTTATTTATCACTGTTCTGGAGGCTGGTAAGTCCGAGATCAAGGTACTGGGTGTTCACATGAAGAAGAGCAAAAGAGAGTGAACCCACTCCCTCAAACCCTTTTCATAGTAGAATTAATCTATTCATGAGGGCAAAGCCCTCCTGATCTAAACACTTCCCATTAGTTTCCACCTCCCAACACTGTTGCATTTGGAATTAACACACAAATTTTGAGAGACACATCCAAACCATGCAGTGGGTTAGGTGATCTTTTATGTAGACTTCCAATTCTGTTATTTCTTTGTTTATTTTTAAATATATTGATAGTTCCCTTGTAAGTCAGGAAGCTGAAAAGCCTAAAATGTAAATGGACACCTTGAGGGTCAATGTTTGTCTTTATATACAAGTGAATATGCATATACCCCTAAGAGTAATTTCTTCATAAACCACCAATACACCCATTATAACAATAATAGCCCATTAATGCCTCTGCTTAGAGGGAAAAGAACTAAAAAACTTTAAATATATCTAGTATATACTGGCAAGCACATAAATACACACTGAGCAGCTATCATTCTGAATTTGAAAACCTGTGGGGTGAAGGCATATTTTGAGCTCTTGATTCCTTCAACTCTAAAATAATTTTATCAGGTTGTTAGGTATTCAGCATTAGGAAACTTTAACTTAAAGAAAGCTAAAGTTTCTAAAAAGGAAATACATTTAATTTAAGCAGAGAGTTCTGAAAAGCTCAATCTCTAAAGCACTTTTGCACCAACCTAATATTAATATATAAGAGTAGGAAAAAAGAAATAAAAAATGTGAGGTAGGTAAATTTTATCTTTAGAACCATATTATAATACTTTCTCAGAGCCATGTTAGTAGGTAATTCTCTCTCTGGTGCTGACTAACAAAAATTCATTTGTCTTTTAAAGCGTTGTTCTACATTTTATCTGCAGATCCAATTATTCATTTATTCTTTCATTCATTTAACTAACAACACTAGAAACATATAATTATGATTAAAAGTGTTTGTTGTATGATCTAGATATGAAAGAAACCCCTCTAATCCATTTCTTACATAGCAACAGGTATGATTTTGTGAATCTTAATTATGACATTGCCCTGCTTCAATGGTATTCCTCTGCATTTTATTTTATTTTATTTTGAGACACAGTCTTAACTCTGTTGTGAGGTTGGAGTGCAGTGTCACAATCTCGGCTCACTGCAACCTCTGCTTCCTGGGTACAAGAGATTCTCGTGCCTCAGCCTCCCAAGTAGTGGGGATTACAGGTGCCTGCAACCATGCCTGACTAAGTTTTGTATTTTTAGTAGAGATGGGGTTTCATCATGTTGGCCAGGCTGGTCTTGAACTCCTGAGCTCAGGTGATCTGCTCACCTCAGCCTCCCAGAGTGCTGGGATTACAGGCATGAGCCACTGTGCCAGGCCGACCTGCATTTTAGATAAAAATCTAAATCCGTATCATGTCTTCCAAAGCTCTATAAAAATCTGGTCCTTGCCTATTTTCTAGCCTCATCACACCATCCTCAATTACTATGCTCTGGTTATTCCAGTCAGTTTTTATGTCCTACTTGGAGCCTTGACATAGGCCATTTCCTTGGAGGGAACAGAATTATCTCCATTCTTCACCTAGATAATAGTTCCTCATTTTTCAGGTCCCTACTTACATATTCTGACATTCCAAGGAAAATTATGTCCCCCTGAACTTTTTATTCATAATACTTATCAAACTTTATAATCACATATATTTTTACATGAAGTTTTTTTTTTTTAATATTAGTTTTCCCCTCTAAACCATAAGCCCCAGAAAGACAAAGATCATGTCTGGTTCTTTCACTATATAGATAGATAGATAGATAGATAGATAGATAGATAGATAGATAGATAGATATTAGTAGCTAGAGCTTAACTCAATAAATATCTATAGAATGCTTTTGTTTCAATCCTAGGGCCACTACTAATTATTTAGCCTGGCACAAGTCACTTAACCTTCCTAGAATCAATTTTATCCTCTAAAAATGAGTACAATACTACTTTCCTCTTGCATTATATTGAGGTCTAAAAAATACCATGCATACATTTGCCCAGAAAAAGTGTAGGGCTTGATAAATAAATAAATTCCTTTCCCCACCCTGTTCTCTTTTAATTCCATGCACATCTAAAAACGTTTCAACACTCTTGTCCAAAATAAAGAAATGATTCACAAGTCTGGCATTTACCAGCCACTAGTTTACTTTCCCTTCCTACTCCCCAATTAAGAGAAAGCTCATTTTGAGGTTTAATGGAGAGTGTCGCAGGTTCATCAGAGTTCAATTCAGCAGTCTGGAGTGAATCTGTAATAATCCATGACCACAGACCAGTTTGTATTTTTCCACTAATAAAACTCAAGAATGGCTATGTTTAAATGGAATTTTGCAGGTCATTAATCCATTCTAAGGAATGACTTTTTTGGCTGTTTAATTGGGAAACGGTGGTAGAAACAGATTCAGAATCTGGATTTATCTAGGAGATAAGGTGGTAGACTGTTTTTGTCTTATCAATGTATATACTTCGAAAGAATTTCTGAATGACTTAAACTGAAAAAATTTTAAAGCCACTGACACCTTTCTGCATCAAACAGGATTTAGATGACAACATTTGTAATGACTCTGTACAAAATTCCTAACTCTTATGGGTCAGAAGGTTTTTTCTTATTTGAAACTGCGGGACAAAAAGCTTTAGAAGACTGCCCTTTCTTGTTCTGAACTGAGCAATGTCTTCTCTTTTGCTGCCTCAGAAAAACACATCCCTCATGTAAGTGTCTGGTTCAAACACTGGCAGGTGCCACGATTCTGGCCAAAGAAATACCAGGGAGCATCTACAGGGAGATTTCTAGGGGAGCTTTTCACCTCTTTAAATGGTACAAAAATCAGACGCATTCCAGCCGGGCGCGGTGGCTCACGCCTGTAATCCCAGCACTTTGGAAGGCCAAGACGGGCCGATCACGAGGTCAGGAAATCGAGAACATCCTGGCTAACACGGTGAAACCCCGTCTCTACTAAAAATACAAAAAATTAGCCAGGCTTGGTGGTGGGCGCCTGTACTCCCAGCTACTCGGGAGGCTGAGGCATGAGAATGGCGTCAACCCGGGAGGCGGAGCTTGCAGTGAGGGGAGATCTCACCACTGGGCGACAGAGTGAGACTCCGTCTCAAAAAAAAAAAAAAAAAAGGCATTCGTTTTTTCTGCCTCTGGATGTCATAAACTGCAAGAGACCTAGTATATGGCAGCTGTTTGGGAACGGCAGCTTGGGGCAAGTGAGATAAGAAATATTATTATCTATACTCAACAGAAGAATAACTGAAGTATACAAATGAGTAATTTTGTTCATAACACAGATTGTCTCAATTGCTACGAAATATCTGGTAACTCTCTACTCTTTCCCACACTTGCCATTTTTCCCATATTCCAACCTATCCTGGAAGTATTTATCCTGGCAAATTCCCACACCAATTCCCCATCACTCTCAAACACCATATATTTTGTAAAGTCCTAACATAACAACGGAAAGAAATATGGCCATTTATTAATCTCACACTTCAAGGAGATACATGGTTGGATGGATGGATGGATGGATAGACAGATATATCTTACACATATATTATTTAATATATATTGAATAATGTCTATTTAACACATCATGAGAAAATATGAATACATGTTTATATATGAATACATGAATATATGAATACATGTTTATATATGAATACATGAATATATGAATACATGAATACATATATGAACACATTTAACATATCTTTAACATATATACATTTAACAAATATGTTTAACATTGCATATTTTGCATGTATACTTTACAGAGAGAGAGAGAATAGTTAATGGCTCATGAAAATCCAAAACAGGACTGGAAATAATCCCCAATCTTCAGAAATTCACAAATTCCATGTCTATGTGAATGGCTAGCATTGTTCTTTTTGCTAGCCCATTGACAAGGAAAGTTCATGAAAGCAATGTTGGTAAGTAGTTTCTCTGCAGAGGGTCTAATGACTCACTGCCATTCCTCTCCTTTATTTATCTCTCTTTTTTGGGATAGTAATGACTGGCCCTAAAGACGATGACGGCATATCTACAGTGATTTAATACTGTCATCCATGGTAAGGACACATCTAAAAACTCTGTCAATAATCGGGATAATCAGGAAATACCAGATTTCTACAAGAAAACAAGTAGCCACTAGAAATGTTCAATTGGGGATTTAAAGTGGGTGCATATAAAGTTAAAAACAAGCATGTTATCACTAGCAGAACCATTCTATTACTATCACCATCCTTTCTCCATTTCTTCATATACTTCTACAACATCTTTAAAAGCTAAAGTTGAGGATGGAATGTTTGTTTTTTCTACTTTTGTTGGGAAACTTGAAATCTTAACTCTCTCTAAATGTAACATCCCTGTCCCTTGTATGTAATATTATATTGTATCTAATATTAACAAGCCTGAGAATAGGAGTGGCCTCCTCTCGGTCTGGTGCTTGCAGGTGGACAAGCAGTGGGTGGGATTCAGAAAATGGAATTCTGCATGGAAGTAGAATGCTTTAAAAAATATGAGTATAGGTACTTATCATTTATTTATAAATTATGCACCTATCCTTCCATCTCTAAACCACTAAGCCACAACCAATGATCAAACCATCTCATCACTAAAAATAAAATTACTTTTCTTTTTGTCTGCTAGTGTTCTCCTTTAGGAGCTCCCCCAATCCCCGCCTTTTTGCCCTCTGATCAGTGAGGTGAGCCAAGAAGAAGTGTCTGATTAATTTTGATGTTAACAAACATCATGGCACACCATACACCTTGTAAATGACAGCAGTAGAATTTCAGAATTAACAGTATCTGATAATTTGTTTTTGTTTTAATAATATCTTATTTTTAAATTCAGAATTACTAATTGGAATAGCCAGCTTTTTTATAAATATCAACAAATTAACAATAAGAAATATATATTGTATATTATAAGATAGGCATTAACACAGAATACTCTAACATCTAAGACTATTACCAAAATATATCATTAAAACCAGGATCATATATGTGTAATATGCTGCTTCAAGAAAAATATGGATTTAAAAATTACAGCCTACGAGACTCCATTTTAAGATGACATAATAGTGGATATATTAGTCAATGTTTCTCACAAATGAATCAACATATTGTATAATTACAATCATATTTAATCATTGCAGCAAAGTACAGGAAGTAACAGTCTCTTTTCTGTTTGGACAACTCATCTCAGATTAAAATTCGCTTGCAAGTAAATTCATAGAGGATTGGTTATGTGGTTATATCTGACCATTGAATATAAATTAAATTTATTTTAAAAGTCTGGGTTTGAACAGAAACATGGCTTTCTAAAATAAATGAAGGTTTTTTATTTTTTCATGCAATTACTTAGTGTTTGTTTAATGTTTTATTCACTCAAGAGCAATTCCCCCCTTAAAGCATTTGTGAAGTAGTTTGTGGACATGCTTGCAGTAGTATACTTGTGTGCAAAAATCAAACATAAAAACTGATCACATGCTCACAGCTGGAAACCGTGTCAGGCTTTATTCGGTAAGGTATCAGGCATTATCATTTAGCGCTCCCACAGCAGGAGGAAAAATGGTGGCACAGAGGAGAACGATCACATCAGACACACTCCAGGGGTTTCCTTTCCCTACATTGTTCCTCTCCCAAATGTAACTCTTTAAATTTTAAATAGGAAAAGAACACACATAATCATTTCTCAGAACAAAAAATAAAATAAAATAAAAGGAGGGGGGAGTGGATATGGAAGGGAAAGACAGTGGCAAAACAGGAAGGAAAACATTTCTCGTTAAATAAAGTGAATATTAGAAAGTTCAACATACACTTTAATGTGTCCTTAAGACCTAAAGAAGCACGCACATCAAAGAGGTTTTGAAGATCTACTTTAGTTCAGATAGAGCAGTGTTTTACTGTGCTCTGTTTTACCACTGTTGATCATGAACAGGTTATTCCTTAGTAACCAAATGCAAAGGTACTCAAGAATAGCTAATTGATGAGGTTTTCTCTTATAAACCTATACTTATCACATATAATATATATTAATACACATTAAGATAATTGAAAGCATTGAAGATACATGAACTGGAGCACATCTTATTTTTCCTTTTTAGAGAAGAAATCACCTTGAAACCCTGTTATCTAATTCTATTTCTTCATAGAAAATTATAATTTAGGAATTAATTTTAGCCTCCACAAATCTCAATTTTCATGTTAGTTCTTGTTTAATACAATTAACACCATCATTATTTTGGGGGAAAAATCACATTACTAGGCTTATTTTACCAGAAAAGCAAAATTCATAAGAGAGGTATAGTTTCAGAAAGTGGAGGAATTCCTAAGAAATAACAATTGTTATTTCATGTTAATGATGTAACCTCCTCCAATGCCTTCAATGGCTATAAAACCAACACCTGAAGGTCTGCAAGATGGTTGGTGCATTCAATATATTCTTCTTCAATGCATTTGCTGTACCTACTGCTTAGCCTTGTTGATACTGCAGGCACTCTTTGCAATGTAGACTGAAGATAGCCCTTTGAAACCCAAACACTTGGCTATCTACTTTGCTTTTGGAATGATTTGAGAAAGAAATACCTATCAGCATGCAACAGCTAAGTAAAGATAGAAAACAGATCTCAGCCCATCTATCTATCCTTTTGTAAATGCCCTAGGATTCGAGGTGAATTATCCTCATCCCTAACTTTCACTCTAAAATATTATGCTAACATTCTAATGTTTTTCTTGTGACTTTGTCACAAATAAAGAAAATAAGCCACAGGCAGATTAACTATATGTTTAGCTTAAAGTAAACCATATGTTTAGCTTAAACAAAATTTGGATGTGACCTCTTGGCTGTAGAGCTATGCTTCCATCAGCTCCTATCTTGAGCCGTGCGTGTGTGTGTGTGTATGTGCACATGCGTGTGTATGTGAATGAGGATATATACATATGAATATATGTTATTTATACATGTGAATCTATACATATATACATACACATACATCCTTTTAAATTTTTAGGGTTTTTTTCTCAAAGGCAAAAAAGAGATAAATCCTTAGGCCAAAATAGGAAGGAACAAACTGAATATATGCATTTTCCTTTTAAACAGGGATTCTGATCAGCCTAACAAGATGTTTCCCTGAAATACTGGCCTCAAATGAGTCCATTCAGCCATGGCAAGGAGAGGTTTCCAGCCAAAACATTTAATTAGTGCCCAATTAAGACAGCCAGAATGATGTGGAGTCCGGGCGCTGGCCGCGTGCTCGCCTCAGGATGGGTAAGCAGCTTAAGTGAGTCTAGTCTGACTAAAAGCTGTCAACTGTCAAACTGTCAGTGGGCCATATGGGTCAGGCAGCAGCATCTCTCTGAAGAATTTGGCTTGTCCACTCATCAGCGGAAAAACACCTCTGACACCATTGGGTTGACAAATAACCTGCAGTTCCTCAAAGCAGAAAGAAATTGAAGTTATGGTCCGATTAAAGGGGGAAGTCTGTCATGTGCCATTTTAAACTTTACTAGCACAACATCAGCTATAGGAAAATGTCCAAACTCCTTAACATGGCAGATAATGCCCCTGCCTAATTATCTGCCCTCATCTCTCACCTCTCCCTTTCTATGCTTTACCCCTGAGCAACGTTAAACTGCTCCATGTTCCCTCCAATATGCATAGTGCTCTTTCTGGACTCCAAAGCTTTGCTAATGCTGTATGCTCTGCCAACAATACCATTCTCTCTTCTTCTTCCACCCCAGCTTATTCATCTCTTTCGCTCAAACTTATCCTTTTATTTTAAACTTTGGAGGCAGCAGCTAAGGGAATTCTTTTCTATCCATCTCCTTCACCATCAACCTCAGACAGCGTTAGATAACCCTCTTCCAGGCTCTCATAAGCCCCTGAGTATCTAGCACTGATTTTGGTGCATATAATTATCACCATCTCTTCATGAGCTGATTTTCCCCTCTTGACAATATACAACTTGATGGTAGGAGTATGTCTTCTTTGTGTTCATAATCATAGCACCAAGAACACTGATTGTTCCTATCATTTGTTACTAAGAATTAACAAATTAATCTGGAAGTAATCAAATTAAAATCAATCTCACCCCATGTTTATTTTCTTTTGTTTTAAAATGTCCCTTTTAGGCAGGTAAATATCACCATGCAATTGGATTGATTTGCCTGTACAGATATAGTAAGTTAATACATGAGTGAGTCGCTACAGCCCTATTGCTCCTCCTGTGCTAGGGTTGGTGGGCACACCATTCCAAGAGGGTATACACGGAGATTGAGAATTGATTAAGGTATTAGCCTAAGTGATATCAAATGAAGAGTGTACTGGAAATCAAGATGATCTTTAAAATAAGTTACTGCTTTTTATTTTTCCTTAACTGTCAATGTAGTTTCATCAGTTGTAACAAATATACCACTTCAGTGGGGAATGTTGATAATGGGGGAAGCTATGCATGTGTTAGGGCAAGGGGGTATATGGGAAATCTCTATACATCTCAATTTTGCTGTGAACCTAAAACTGCTCTAAACACTAATTAATTAATTTAGCTTTGGTATGTTATAACCGGGAATCTAACAGGATGTGGAAGAAGCTAGAGCTATGGGGGAAAAAATCTTGATTTGTGGAAATACCCTAGGCTTCTAGCCTGTCCCTCACCAGAAATGTTTTTATATAAAATATTAGAAAGAAGAAACTGTCAGACTAACTTGAAAAGGAGAGAGGATGAGAAGAGATGCTACCAAAATTCAGCTACAGCTTGAAGCCTGTGTGTGTATATGTGCTGGAAGTTAAGGTAATAATTCCCTAGAACCTATTCAGCAAATATTGGTGATTAGGACCTTTCATTCATCTGTCTACTACCTTCTTGAGTAAATGTACAGCATAAACTCCTTCCAATAGAGGCCCATCTCCATCCCCTAATGATCAACCCCTGATACAAAAGGGTGTTGCTTCTAATACTCCTGTAAGAAAATGTAAAATTTTCTTTTTTTGTTTTAGATGTAGAACTAGCCATATCTTTAGAGTAACTACCTGAAAATCAGACCAAAAAGCAGAAGTACTAACTCAATCTCCAATGTCACATAATAAATTTAACCAAAAATTTTGTAAAACTTTGACAAAAAACATGCATTAGAAAACAATAAACATTACGAAACTTACTACCTCCTAAGCTCAAAACAGATGTAGAACCTGTGAACTAATCATTTGACAGAAGTATCTTGAAAAAAAGCACATGTAACTGATGTCATCTTGCAAATATCAACTATTGGTCACAGTTCCTAATACAGCCAAATCAGGCCATTCCTATCACAACATAGTTAAAACATAAATTATTTTAATAAATTGATGAACCACTCTCAAAAATAATGCTTGTGCACAAACCTGGGAAACTGCTTTCGCTGGCTGTAAAGAAAAGGATCCCGAAGTTACTGCACTGAATAATTGCACTAAGATATATTAGAGGTCTGGCCAAGCACAGTGGCTCACGCCTGTCATCGCAGCACTTTGGAAGGCCAAGTCAGGCAGATTGCTTGAGCCCATGTGTTCAGGACCAGCCTGGGCAACATGGCGAAACCCTGTCTCTACAAAAAATACAAAAAATGAGACAGGCATGGTGGCGTATGCCTGTAGACCCAGCTACCCGGGAGGCTGAGGTGGGAGAATTACTTCAGCCAGGGAGGTGGAGGCTGCAGTGAGCTATGATCACACCACTGCACTCCAGCCTGGGCAACAGAGGGAAACCCTGTCTCAAAAAAAAAAGAAAAGAAAAGAAAAGAAAAAAAGATGCATTACAGGTCACATGCTTCTCCAAGGGGAAGGGTCTGTGGTGTGGATAAGAAATTGGTGGAGGCCAGGCAAGGTGTCTCATGCCTGTAATCCCAGTACTTTGGGAGGCTGAGGCGGGCAGATCATTTGAGGTCAGGAGTTCAAGACCAGCCTGGCCAACATGGTGAAACCTCGTCTCTACTAAAAAATATGAAAATTAGCCGGGCATGGTGGCACGTGCCTGTAATCCCAGCTACTTGGGAGGCTGAGGCAGGAGAATCTCTTGAACCTGGAAAGCTGAGATTGCAGTGAGCCAAGACCATGCCATTGCACACTCCATCCTAGGTGAAAGAGTGAGACTCTGTCAAAAAAAAAAAAACAAAGGAAAGAGAGAGAAAGAAAGAAGGAGAAAGAAAGAAAAAAGGAAAGAAAGAGAAAAAGAAAGAAAGAAAGAAAGAAAGAAAGAAAGAAAGAAAGAAAGAAAGAAAGAAAGAAAGAAAGAAAGAAATTGGTGGAAAGAGTCTTATCCTAGGGTAGGAACTTCCAGTAGAAAAAAAAAAAGGAAAAAGTGTTATAACGACTTTCTATATAAAGTATCAAATGTCTTGCCCAAAATTGTCCTCTTTCCTCCATTCCCAAGAAGTCATAGAGAGAAAAGCTTGTCTTGTTTCTACCTTCACAAACCTAAGTGTCAAAAGGATACACATTCACCAAGTCCATGAAGGACCTGCAGGAGGCAGCCCTGACCAAGCCCCAGTGGTGACAGCAAGCAGCTGCTTTTTCTCTCTACTTTAGGCACTCACTCCGCTTTTCCTACAAGAATAAAAGCAACCAGAAGTGTTAAGTCTTCTTCTTGCCCTCTCTACTATCTGCACAAGAAACTCTGGAGTCTTTTCAAAGAGGTACTATGAATACTTATGTGACAATATGGAGCTTCTTTACCCTTTTTCACCTGCCACTTTTCTTCCTCACATAGTCGCCTTCTCAGGAGGAAGCTATTGGTGAGACCCAAAAAAGACAGAGAATCTGTTAGTATAATAAAGTATAATAACTCAGACCACAAGAGGTGGTAAGAATTCCTAAGATAGAGAAAGAGACAGAGAGAAAGTTCAAGCACCTGAAAGGATGCAGATAACATGCAAAGGCTAATGAGCTCAGGGCCTGCTGCTGCCATTCAGATGCATCTAGAAGGAAGATCACAAACTTATTGACTAAGAAGCAGAGCTCTGGAAAGATGCAAAAATGTGAACAAGACTTTGGAAAAAAAGGGGGAAAAGGAAGGAGAAGGAGGCCCCTGATGCCCATATGATGTGTATGGACTGATGGCTGATTCCTTGGAAAAAAGTAAAGTTTGATGCAACAAATTCTGTATTTGTCTATGTTTTTGACTATGTAATGGTAAGACTTTTTTTTTCCTGATAATGGACTATTTACCCCTCACAGGCCAAACTTAAGTGTTGCACTTAGAAATAAGTCCCTGAAACCTCTCTTGCTCCCTTCTAAAGAGAATGTGGGAGGGGTGGGGAGCAGAGCTTTCTCTCTTCGTTTTCAAGGAGCATTCCTTCCTTAACTCAGGGAGAAGTTGACTGTGTGTTACAAGTCCTTAATTTGGGTATGCTTATCTTGCAATTAACAGCATAGGTTAGAAAGGAATCAGAGTAAAGCTGTCTGCATAGGCAAAAGGAAAGTCCTAGAAATTGATGTACTAGGGAGGACTTCTGAGATTCTTTATGCCAAGTCTGCATAGTGGCTAATCATAGGTAGGGAAGAAGCGAAGGTCATAGGTAGTAAATTGACCTCATACCTAAAAGAGCCATGGTGGTCAGAGTCAGGGAAGAATCTGGGGAAAACAGAATCTGTAGCAAAAAGAATCTGCAGCAAAAAGTAATTCATGTCAGAATCAGACATCTGAGCCAAGATTTTCTTTTTTAAGTCAAACACAATTGTTATAGAAGAAAAATGACTCATTCACAAGTCTTCAAGGGCAGGAACACAGAGCCAGGTCACAACCAACAGAACAATAATATCTACATATATGCAGGTTTTAATAGCAAAAGCTGAAAGAATAAAACCTGCAAAAACTTACATAGGTACTGTTCTAGGATTTATTATGTAAAGACATATCACAGTGCAAAGAAAGTACCAAACTCCACAAGCTTTGTACTGGTAATAACAAGCTTTGTACTGGTAAAAGGAAAAGATTATAATTGGACATTAATTGATATACACTAAATAGAGAAAATCAAGCACTCAAATTTCTATCGACATGCAAATGTTAAATTAGGGAAAAAAATAAACAGCCAATTCCCTGGACTTGGATTGATACAGATGACAAGTCTATTAAAGCAAACTGAATGAGGACCCTCTAGGTGATAATGATCATTAGGTATGTAGACAATGTCTAAAATGAAAGAGAAAAAAAGCTGAAAAAGATCTAAGACAGTGAAACACTGAAAATCAAATTATAACTGTTAGAGAAAGGAATGAAAACTGAAATTTAGCTGTATCAAAATCATTCCAGGTTACCTACGAATGACTGTTCTTTATAACAATGCTGAAGACTATTTTGACTGAATTTTGACTCAAAGTATTAAGATAGGTATACAAAAATGTAAAAACAATGAAATTTTTAAAAATTAAATTATACATTGTAGAAAGTACATTTTTACTATCATAGAGTAAAAAATATATATTTTTACCATAATATAGTAGAAAGTATATATTTCTACTAAAGAAAGTTCAAAAAAGTAAGATAAGAAGAAGCATTTTAATAAGTTGTCAGACTGGGACGTAATGAAACTAAGGAGCTTCTGCACAGCAAAAGAAACTATTAATAAATAGACAACCTACAGAATGGGAGAAAACATTTGCAAATTATGCATCTGACGAAGGCCTAATATCCAGAATCTATAGGGAACTTAAACAAATCAACAAGAAAAAAAAAACCCTATTACAAACTGAGCAAAGGGCATAAACAGACACTTCTCAAAAGAAGTCATATAAGCAGCCAACAAACAGACGAAAAAATGCTCAATACCACTAATCATTAGAGATGCAAATCAAAACCACAATGAGATAACATCTCACACCAGTCAGAATGGCTATTATTAAAAAGTCAAAAAATAGATGCTGGCAAGGTTGCAGAGAAACGGGAATGCTTATACACTGTTGGTGGGAATGCAAATTAGTTCAGCCCCTGTCAAAACAGTTTGGAGATTTCTCAAAGAACTAAAAATAGAATTACCATTTTACCCAGCAATCCCATTAGTGGGTATATATCCCAAGGAAAAGAAATCCTTGAACCACAAAAACACATGCTCTTGCATGTTCATTGCAGCACTATTCACAATAGCAAAGACATGGAATCAACCCAGGTACCCATCAACGGCAGATTGAATAAAGAAAATGTGGTACATATATACCCTGGAATACTACACAGCCATAAAGAATGAAATCATGTCCTTTGCAGCAACATGCATGTATAAAACATACATATGTTCCCCCTGAATCTAAAATAAAAAATAGAATAACGTTGTCTGTCATCTAGTAGGAGGCATGAGGGGGACTTCTAGGATACTCCTGTTTAGTTTATTAATCTGGATGTATTCAGTTTTTGAAAATTCATTCAGCTGTACACTTATGATTTGTGCATTATTCTGAATGAATGTTATGTTTCTATGAAAAGCTCTCTAAAGAAAAAAATTACTGGTCATATGCCAGGCGCAGTGGCTTATGCCTGTAATCCCAGCACTTTGGGAGGCCAAGGCAGGTGGATCACGAGGTCAGGAGATCAAGACCATCCTGGCCAACATGGTGAAACCCCGTCTCTACTAAAAATACAAAAAATTAGCCGGGCATGGTGGCAGACGCCTGTAGTCCCAGCTACTCAGCAGGCTGAGGCAGAAGAATGGCGTGAACCCAGGAGGCAGAGCTTGCAGTGAGCCGAGATCGTGCCACTGCACTCCAGCCTGGGCGACAGAGTGAGACTCCATCACAAAACAAAAAAAAAAATTACTGGTCATAGTCAAATTCATAAAATTTGAGTTTGCCTTTGCTAGGATACTTAACAATAAGGCTCAGCATAAAAACAGATAATAACATCCTAAGTTGTAAAGAATGTGGTTCCCTTAAGAGGATTGAGAATAACTCACACTTGGTCAATATATTTAAAGTCTTGTAAAGGATCTAAAGATATTTCTACTTGAATCCTAAAAAATGGGCAATGAGCAGGGAATCTGACTTTGAGATGTGTGAAGCTAGGTCCGCTTGAGTGAACTGATTTCAGGAGTAAAATATTGTGCTTATGTAAATTCCTCAAGATCAACTTAATGACCTAAGAAAGGAGAATTTCTTCTGATTCATGGTGACATAGCATGCCTTCAACTATAAACTGTATTTCCTATATTTAAGTCCCAATTCTATCACTTCTACACTACATATATTTGGGTAAGACATTTAACATCACAGATTCTATGATTTCAATATACATAGAATGGGATAACATGGCATGCCCTATCTGCCTTCCTGGGTTATTTTGACTTGTGTACAAGATAATACAAGTGAAAGTGCTCTGCAAGCTATAAAAACAAATGATAAAAATTTAAAATAAAATGACTCTGAATTGAATGGCTTAAGTTTGATAACCCAATCTGATTTGGCTACATTTATTGTCCTTGATCTAGCCTGTGTATATTAAGCCAATTTAGACTTCCCCAAAACACATAGTTGTTACACTATGCTTCTGTTTCGAAACTTCAGCATCCTTTCTCTGTCTACAGTCTCAAATCTTTGCTAATAAGGTCTTGCTAGTCCTTTTCATCATTTACAATGTCCCATTTGAAGCCCAATGCCATGGCTTCCAAATCATACCACATCCCTTCCTGCCTCTACAAATTTGTGCCTGTCATATCCTTCCCTTCTTGTGCCCTTCCTACTCTGTTCTTCTTTTCAAATTCAATGTGTCCTTTAAGGCCCTATTTACGTCCTTTCTTTTCCATGAAGTCCCTTCCATTAACCCTAGTATATTGATCTATTTATTATCCCTAATGTTAATTTCTTTTTTTTTTTTTGAGATGGAGTCTCGCTCTGCTGCCAGGTTGGATTGCAATGGTGCAATCTCGGCTCACTGCAACCTCCGCCTCCCTGGTTCAAGCGATTCTCCTGCCTCAGTCTCCCAAGTAGCTGGGATTACAGGCATGCATCACCACAGCTAGCTAATTTTTGTATTTTTAGTAGAGATAGGATTTCACCATGTTGGCCAGGCTGGCCTGGAACTCCTGATCTCAGGTGATCCACCCGCCTTGGCCTCCCAAAGTGCTGGGATTACAGGCGTGAGCCACCATGCCTGGGCTCTAATGTTAATTTCTTAGACGTTATCCTCTGCATCTAAATTTACAATTTGGCTGTATGTTTCAGGTGTATTAAATGTCCACGTGTATTAAGACTCCTCACCAAACTGTAAAACCCCTTTAAAAGATGAATTATCTTCTATGTTTCTTTTCCCTATTCCCAGGAACTAGCATAGTATTGGAGAAATGGAGATGAAAATGAGGTTCAATAAAATTAGAGTTCTCAATAAATATGCATGGAAGTGAATTAAGTTGCTAATTCCTAAGAGAGCATCTGACAGTTATATTGATATCTGTGTATCAATGGCATTTTTTTTTCTTTTTTGAGACAGAGTCTCAGTCTGTCACCCAGGCTAGAGTGCCATGATGCATTCTCGGCTCACTGCAACCTCTGCCCCCCAGGTTCAAGCAATTCTCCTGCTTCAGCCTCCCGAGTAGCTGGAAGGTGCCTGTCACCATACCTAGCTAATTTTTGTAGTTTTGGTAGAGACATGGTTTCTCCATGTTAACCAGCCTGGTCTCGAACTCCTGACCTCAAGTGATCCATCTGCCTCGCCCTTCCAAAGTGCTGGGATTACAGACGTGAGCCACTGCACCCAGCCATCAATGGCATTTTTTCTTCTCATTTCAAACATGCCTTCTGAGAAGTGCTTGGAGAAACTACAGATAAATGCTCTCCTCTATTAGAAGGACAAGAGAACAAACCTGTCGCTGTCCCTGATACACAGTACTAAGACCAATACAAAAAAATTTAATCCATACACAGGACTTAGATGAATATAAAATCAATACAAAACAAATAAATACAAAAAACCCAATAATCCAAAATATGAAGGTGCAGAATAAATGCTTTAGGAGTGGTTGAGTTTTGACAAAGGGCGTTCCACCAAGTTCTACCGCAGTTGGATTCAACAAAGCAAGTCACTAAAGTAAAGATGGGGAGAAGGGTGGAGAAGAAAAATTCAGCTGGATTTTGGATATGGTCATTATGTGCATCTAATCACACTCCTTTAAAGGGATCTGACTGTAGGTGGGTGATGATGCTGAGTTAGGCAGAGTATGCAGTGTAGAAAAGAGGAGAAAATAGAAAGGGGAGGATAGTAAGGAAATGAAGGGAGGGGTATTTGGAGACTAGTTGGCTGACCTTTGTGGTTCTACACTTTCCTTTTTTTTTTTTTTTTTTAATTTTTTCCTCCATTTTGTACTCATGCCCAGATTCAAAGTGATGGCTTCATAATAATAAATAAATAATTAAGGAATCCAAGAAAAGATCCAAAAGGCATGCCAGAAAGGGTTATAAGCTTGGCTCCAAATCTCTCTTGAGTGAGAGACAGAAAATAGGTTTGAATTTGCCTGCCTGGATGGCTAGAAGGCAGTGACAGATATCCAATTATAAAGCGCAGGGGGCATTTTCTCTTGCCACCAGTAGAAGCCCAGGCTCCCTGGCACTCATAGTTTAAAATGTTTCTTTTTATTTCCAGATTTTAGGCGACAGTAATAATTTTTCCTCCCTTCTAGGGGCTTCAATGTACACATATCTTCCCATAGAGCTTTCTTTTGCTTCAGGAATGAGCTGGGATTGGAGAATACCTAGACTCCTACAGATCTAACACCCAAGATAACTGGCCCAGCTGAGATTATATGCTTTTCAGCCCTTGCCTCTAGCTTCCAAGATATGACCAGTGAACAAAACGGTAGTGGGTCATGGGAAGAATAGGTGCTACAGAGAGATGATCAGTTAGATAGCAATCACTAACTGAAGTTCATGGACTATTTTATCTTTTTAGAGTTTATAAAATGTTTTCATAACTATTATCTCATTAGATCCTCACACAACCCTGTGAATCCAGCAGAGTAAGGATTGTCATTTTCGTTGTAGAAACAAGGTAGTAGTCCAGAGATACCATCTGCCTAGTCCTTGGTCACATAGTTGGTATGCTGGGCCACTGGGACTGGAGTCCAGGCACCCCAAATGCATCCAGACATACAGAGGCTCCAGTAACAGAGGACTGAGCTCTATGAACAGTGAGGAGCTCTGGGACTTCCTGAAAGATGTGAGACAGACATACAATCCCCAAACCGGAAAGGGGCTTAGAACATATCAAAGTCCTAATCCCTCATTTTACAGATGTGGTCTAGTTTGGTTGAATAACTAACCTAAAAGTATCTATCAAACTCATGTAAAAGTCAGCTCTCCTAACTCTCAGCCCAGTGTTTTTTACCCTCACCTTGGTGACAACTCCTTCCACGTAGCCTGGGGTAAACAAAAAACTCAAAGGTGTTCAGGATAGGAAGTCAATGAGACACATTAGGATCCATTTGCTATGACCAAGTAAATTGAAAGTTTGATCAAATAGGCAATATTTTCTACAAATGGATTCCCTAGAGTTAAAAGACTCCCCTTTATAAAATGCAAAAAGCTGAGAAGAGGGCTGGGAGGGAGGAAAAAGCACCAGAATTAGTAGATCCTCATTTGCCTCCTGGCCCTGCCCCTTCCTACAGAATGATTCTGGAAGCCTGGCACAGGGTCAATTTCTCTATTTGTGATAAACACATGAACACTGCCTACTTCATTGGTTTGTTATGAGAAGGTAACGAGATGACGCGTGTGAAAGTTCACTGCAAATGATGATAAGGTATTTTCATCCTTATTGCTGTGGTTTGCTTCTCTAAATTACCTGGCTAATTGTTCTTCCTTTTACTTGATTTTTGTTTTTGTTTATGTGGCCCAAGCTAGCTGCCTACTGTGAGGATGAAAGGCCATGGTGTAATCACAACCAGATTCAACTATAAAAGTACTCAGATTGTCCTTTTCCACACAGGCACTCAAACAAGATAGTGAGGTTAAATGGGCGCCCTAGAATGTAGAACAAAGATTACTTCTGAAAGCTTGAAAAACAACACCTACTAAAAATAAGACTTTAGGCCAGGCACAGTGGCTCACACTTGTAATCCTCGCACTTTGGGAGGCTGAGGCAGGCAGATTGCCTGAGCTCAGGAGTTCGAGACCAGCCTGGGCAACATGGTAAAACCCCATCATCTCTACTAAAATCCAAAAAAAAAAAAAAAAAAAAAATTAGCCAGGCATGGCGGCATGTGCCTGTAGTCCCAGCTACTCGGGAGGCTGAGGCAGGAGAATTGCTTGAACCCAGGAGGCGAAGGTTGCAGTGAGCCGAGATCGTGCCACTGCACTCCAGCCTGGTGACAGAGCGAGACACCATCTCAAAAAGAAAGAGACTTTTTTACTCATAGTTTTACTCATAGCCATCTATGAGTAAAAGTCTCATAAGAGATTTAGTTATGCATGACTAAGGAGATTTGGGAATATTCAAATTTCAAAGGAATGTGGATATTGCTAATTGAGCTAAAATTGAAGAGGCAAGAAGAATAAATGAACTCTCAAATTAAGAGTTTCTCAAGGTATCTCCAGCCCTGTCCATGGTAGAGGATACTTAAACATTTGGGTTCCAAGAGTGGAGACAAATAAGGCTATCTGAACTTGAGGACACTAGCTTAAGATCCAGATAAATCCACTAATTATGAGGCCTTGCATGCCAACTAAAATCTGTGCTTAAACTTTAGCTTTTAAACAAAACTTACCTGTAGGGAACAAGCTGATGAGCTGACACAGTGCCCAATCTCATTTTAAGTGAATAAACCAGCATCAGTTCTTACACACATTTCATGTGAGCTTGAGTCACAATTGATTGGTCTTGACCTTAGTTACTCTGGGAACAGAAAGGAAGGGAAACTAGAAGACCTCAGTCAAACCTCATGTTCTTTTCATCTTCAGCTTTCCTCACGTCTGCAACTATCAATTTGTGGCTCCAGACACCTGTAAATGGGCTACGTTATGCATGACAACACTTAACGTGGGTGGAAAAACCATGTTATTCATGGGGTTCAGGATACTATAGCCCAAAATATTATGCCACCTGACATATTGAAAAATGGCAGAAACAAGACAGTCTCTCTAATTTCCCCACCACCACAACCCTTCTCCCCTAAAGCAGATCATGAAACTAAGAAGGATTTTCTGAGGTTTCCCTGAAGCAGCTCATAAGACCTTCATGCAAGAGGGGAATCTCTTTATACCTGGAGGAGGGGAGTATCTTTATCTCTGAAAGTGAAGAATCATAGTGAAGAATCTGAACAAAAAGGCCTTGCAGAGTTTCCCCAGTTTGCCACCATTAGATCATCCTATCTTTTACATCTAGATGAAAATGCTTTGTCCTATCCTATTCCTCCTAGACTATCCACTCTTCATCAAACCTAGCATGAAAATATACAAGTTTAACTGTTTCTTTGGGTCTTTATGTCCTTATGAACCTGTGTCACATGGAACTTACATTAAATAAAATGTGAATGCTTTTCTTTTGTTAATCTGTCTTTTGTTTCACAGGCCTCAGCCATAAAGCTATATTACTCAATCTTTCTATGCCCATAATCAACGAGAACTCAAATAGAAAATATATTAACTCAATTTTCCTTTTGAAAGTACTTTTGGAGGCCAGGCGCAGCGGCTCACGCCTATAAACCCAGCACTTTGGGAGGCTGAGGTGGGTAGATCACCTGAGGTCAGGAGTTCAAGACCAGCCAGGCCAACAATGATGAAACCCCATCTCTACTAAAAATACAAAAATTAGTCAGGCATGGTGATTCACGCCTGTAATCCCAGCTACTTGGGAGACTGAAGCAGGAGAATCGCTTGAACCTGGGAGGAAGAGGTTGCAGTGAGCTGAGATCACACCATTGCACTCCAGTCTATGCAGCACAGTGAGACTCCGTCTCAAAAAAAAAAGGAAAAGAAAAGAAAAAAAAAAAGGAAGTACTTTTGGGAAAAGAAGAAAACAACAACATTAACCATTTTTTAAAAAGTTAGGTTATGCTTCATATTAGGTACAAGTTTAGTGCAATTCTTTCTTCTTCCTAAAGCATTTTAAAAAATGCCCAAGATGACAATGAGAAAGCATGTGAAGGCCTAGATGTCATGATATTTCATATCCTATACTGCTAAAGTTAAAAAGTGAAAAAATATATTCAAGAAAAAAAGGTTCAATTAAGGTAGTTGTAATTAAAGGAATTATATTACCTTTCAAATAACCAGAAAACTCAATTAACCAAAATCACTTATTGGCTGTGTCTTCCAGTTAATGAAGATTTTGGAAGATTTAATTGTTAAGTACACATCAGAGTTTGTCATGAAGATATACCCAGTTGTTATAGTAAATATGGTACAGAGAATTTCTTTCAGTTGCTATTGTATTAAATGTTATGTATTTCAGAAATAGCCTAGAGTTAAAGAGGAGTGATATTCTATTAATTAATCTTAAATTATTTCAGGATAGGAACATAGACCTAGGAAAGAAAAATGGAAATGATGCACCAAAAAAAAAAAAAAAATCAGCAATTTCTTCCTCAAACTTCCTAATCCAAATGGCCAATTGCTGGTTGTCATTGCATTAATCTAATTATAACTCTTTCCTATTGAATTTTCAAATACATGAAATGACTGGGAAAAAACAGCGACTTGTAAAAATCAAAGGGTTCCATGGTTAATGTTACATTCAAAGGTAATTACTTAACACAGGCAAAGCTGAACTGCACAACCTACAATTCTGCAACTTTCTATAGGCCCTTTTGCTTCTACTTTAAATAAAAGAAATTCCTTTCATTTTGTCAAGAAAACTTTTCTCTACCTCACTACTGCCTGACAAGGGAACAGATGGCAATTTAAGGGGAGAATTTATGAGAGCCACAATCTTAATGTTGCATAAAGGAAAGAAAAAGACTCGCATCAAAACCACTGACAAATGTACTTGCTAATATTAATGCACTCCCCATTCATCCAATATGCTTCCTAATTGCTTTTCTGTACATAATAATGTGGCACCTGCTGCTCAACATTGCAAACGCATCAGGATTTCTCCAAAGTCAAACAGCTCTGCAACTGGCCCTCTCCCAGTGATAAATGTAGAGCACTGTATCACGCACAGTTCCTGTCAGTGGCATAATTAAAATTTTATACTTACAGAAAAAGATAGTAAACAATCAGTTCTTAAATGGATTCACAAGAGGAACTCTTGTTACAGCCAACTTTATAATTAGTATGCATCATGTACTGCTAATATATCCATGACAAGAAAATAGGAAAAAAATTAGAAACTTGAGTTCTTCCCTTTAATGCAATGTTAAACTACTTTAAAAAAAAGAAGAAAATAATCTACTATTACTGTACTATTACATCAAGAACCTTCTCTCATATTAGCATAACTGCTTCTACTATATAACTTGTCTATGCCTTCTCAAGTGACAATGAGAATGAGATTAGAGTAGAAGGGAGAAAACTTTTGCATGCATACACATCAATGAAAGCATGGTACATATTTTGTAGTACAGGGGTCCAAAAACTACAGCCTCTTGGTAAAATCCAGGCCAAAACCAGATTGTTTTGTAAAGCCTGTGAATTGAGAATGGATTTTACATTTTTAAATAGTTGGAATAAAAATCAAAAGAAAAATAATATTTTGTGACACCTGAAAATTACGTGAAATTTAATTTTCAATGTCCATAAATACAGTTTTATTGGAACATGGCCACACTCATTCATTTATTTATCATATTGTCTATGGCTACTTTCTTGCTACAAGGGCAGAATTGAGTAGTTGCAACAGAGACCTAGTCTGCAAAGCCTAAAATATTTACTATCTGGTCCTATGCAGAAAGAGTTTGCTGATCCCAGATCTAAGGCATTTGTACTCTACAAATCTATGTAATTGGAGTGTGTCATTATTTACATGTATGTGCACATAAACAATTAGTGATCTATGAGATAAAAGTAGGGTTACCACAAACATATCTGTGTGCATGCACGTGTGATGTAAAAGGTTAAAAACTATAATTCTAGGTGTAACTAAAAATTAATGTTTGCATTGTGATGAAAATCAAATTATATTAATTATCTGGACTTTTATTTTGATTATAATTATATTTAGCAAATTACTGCTTTACTTTTGCATGTATGCATTTTATGTTCCTTATGTCTGTGAAGAGTCTATTTTATTAGACAATAAAACAACCAAAACAACAACAGCAAAATATATATATACACATATATACATGTGTATATATATATATACACATATATACATGTGTATATATATATACACATATATATATATTATTTTTGGCTATCACTGAATGTGGAAATAATGAGTGATTTAGTAAAACACCACTGTTGAGGCCACTTTGCTATTTTTTTCCTGAAGCTATCAGTAAGCTAAAAAAGAAGTTATTTGATAAAATTGTTTAAGACTACATACACACACAGATACAAATGAATCCATGTAAAACTGGTGAAATCATAAGGTGCTTTCAATCTGTTTCCTGAGTTTGACTGTATTACTGTATTCAAATTATGTCAGATATTACCAATGGGGGAACTAGGAGAAGGGTACATGGGACTTCCAATATTTTTACAATTTCCTGTAAATCAATAATTATTTCAAAATAAAGGTTATCTTTGTAAGTCATTTGAGAAGAGAATCCTCTAGATTATATGGGTAGTTCCTCTATCTGATATAGAATTACATTGTACCAAGATTTTCAAAAATTTTACCGAGAAAAAGAAAATAAGAAAAACTAATAGATCTAAAAATTTCCACACTTGACTTACATGAAATGAGGCTGAAATAAATCAATCAGTTTAATTTTTTCTAATCAATATAATGGAGTGGAGGGAACTCAGCTAAACAGATTACGTGGTTTGGTGGACAAAGCCTCTAGTTGGCTGGCTGACCAGTTTGCTTCACGTGGGTTGTCGAGGGTTCCTCTTCGGTAAGTCCGGACTGCAGAGCCTGATGACTATTTCTTTGCCCCTAGTGCCCCTCTTCTCACGTTCCCCAAGCATATTCCTATTGGCCAGAACCTTTCCTTTATTGTACAATTACCATCTTTTACATCTAGATGAAAATGCTTTGCTTTACAGCTGAAAGCTGGAAGTGAAGGGAATTTGAATCTAGAGGATTTTAACTTGTTTGCTTCACTAGAAAAGCATGCCTCATACGACGTAGTGCCTTTTTAAAAGGCTGTTCCTTTGAGCAAATAGTATTAATTCCAATACTTTTTTAAAAGAGGGGGAGACCTACCTATGAATGTAAATAAAGTGACAAATTCCAAAACTAAACATCTCAGGGAGATTAAAGTCTGAATCAGAAGCACAGATGCAGATAAAATAATTTGTATCATGAATGAAAATGTTATACCCTAAAATCCTAGGAAAAACAAAAATCTTTTCTTGAAGATAAAACTGCATAAAAATTACTGATGTGAGTGAGGAAATAAAGTATGTTTTTAGTTTTCATGCCAGGAAGGAGATGAGATTCATTTTTATACCAGCTCCACAAAGGCTTGCTAGCAACCTGCTTAGAATACAATAGATGGGATTTAAATTTTCTTTTCCTTTACGTGGTTTGCTCATTTGCATGCTAGGCCCCAGAATGGTCTTCTCTCTCTCTCTGCCATTTCACAGAAACACTGGGATCTGAGCGCTGGGAGCAAACTGAAAGGTTCAAGGGTGCTTGTGAGTTCAGCAGAAAGCTCTTTTATCAGTGTATTTGCAAGGGAAAAATGTAGTGCTTTCCTCACTTCATTGGGCAACTTTTCCTTTGAGGGACAGCTTCAAAAATCTCCTCCCCAGAACACCTCTCAGCCCAGAAAGTGCTCTGCATTCCTCAAACACACAGAAGGAAACTCACCATGGGGACTCCTAATGAACAAAGACAAAATTAGCGTTGGTTTGGAAGGATTTTAGAAAGAGGATCGGTCTACCCTTCTGCACCTGGGTGTCAGTTCCTCAAATTTCTTCATTTAAAATATCAGACATGGCTGTTATTCGAGCTTAAAAGAAAGTCCAAGGGGGCTGAGACCTTGGAGGAAAAGGCTATCCAGACTTTATTTTCAAATCAATTTTAGGATGATTAAAGTATATACAAATGTCACAACTATCCAACCCAGTGAGTAATAATTTAAAAGAAGAGAAGGAAATAAACACAAGACATTTAGTCGCTCAAATAGGAAATATCAATCCAATCCAATGATTATAGTCAGTTTTTAAAGCCTACACAGTACATTCTCATCATAAAAGACATACTGTATATAAAGAGAAATGCTCCCTCATTGCAGTATAAAGATCTCAGATGTGATGCCTGACGAAATAATAAAAGGACTGTATTCATCAACAGACTTAAAACTGCACGTTATTCTCTGTTACTGACAGACAACTGTTTATAGGAACTGGAAGAGGTTGGGATGGCATTCCTATGTAAATAAGAGGGAGTGGTGCTGGAGTGTTGTTTTTTCCAGCATTGCAAAAGCCCTCACAGCAGGAAATGTTTTATTGTAATGCAAATGTATTTGATTTTCTCCAAAATCCCCTTTCACTGTCTTTCCTGTCTGAATGTATCATCACACCATATTTGCAATTCTATTAAGCACCATTTTATATTAGCCTAATTTACGTAACCTGCCTAATAGGAATCGGAAATGTTACAGTTATTTTACTGGATCCAATTAGTATTTCATTGTTTTAGCCTGAGCACAATATTGTACAATAGTCCTCAATACTCAGCTAAATGGGATAGGATGTACACCACGTAATACGATAAATGGAAGCATATGTTTTAAGCTAATTAAAACGCAGTTAAAACCTGCCTGAACTGAAACCAACTGCATCCTTTAATATCTGGTGAATGACTATTTAAAAAAAAAAAACCAATAATAAAATGTCATATCATGGTGAACTTAAGAAAAAAGTACAAAAGTTAAGTACTGAAAATAGCTGGACTAAATTACTAGTGGATTGTTTCCTGGAAACGCATTTTCTCTTTTTATGTGTCACACAGAGAAGAAGAGTGACTTTTTCCCAAGTTAGATACACAAATTCACAAAAATGTGTAAAGATTATTGGTTAACCAGAGGGTGAGGAATAGTTTAAGTATTCCCATAATTAAAAATAGAGTTTCTTATTTCTTATTTTAACACCCATTCAATTTATAGAAATATATCAAATGTTGCATTTTGTGCATATCAGAGATAATATATTCAGCAAAAAGAAGTTACATAATTTCAAACCAAAAAAAATTTGTAACAATACTCAATTTTAAAAATGGCTTTATTTAGGGATATCACTGAGTAGGAAAAAAACCTAAAATGTTGGGTTGAAATTGTGAAAGTAACAATAGTAAACAATGTGAGTATTGTATAACGTAACATATTATACATATATATATACCAAAAATTCCTTGTAATGCAGGAAAATCACTTTTCTTTAATTTCAGAATTTTGCTGTTGAATTCATATTGGGTTGTTATGCTGTTTTATCTGGGTATTGTTCCCCTAAGATTACAGGCTCTATTAAAATATGAGTAGGAAGTATATCTAGGAGGAAAAAATACTGGGCTGAGCGACACATAACCCAATTAAAAGCATATTTGCTTCTTACTTTTTATACAGACACCTCTCAAACCTCATTTCAATGAAAATAGTGTATGAAATTGTAACTTTGCCAAAAATAACTTTCGGAAAAAGAAACAGGTATGAGAAGTTTCTCTTATAGTAAAAGGGAGGCAAAGTTGAATGTCTGGCAAAATATTAAATACAATATTTGGTGGGAAAAATAATCTTTTTTGTTTTTTATTTTAACTTATGACAATGGTAAGAAATAGTACTAAAGTGAACTCCTGGGCTGACTGGAGATTCTTAACAATAATGTATGATGGTTGCACTAAACCTGAGAGTGTGCTTTATGTCATTTTTTCCGACTTTGCCATTAACTCCATAACAGCTGGCACCAAATATAGTAAATTGTGAAATAATGAGCTTGTATATTGCTAGCAATTACAGAGTTAAGTTGAATAAATCCTTAGAGTACAAAATAAGTGTGCTTTCCACCTGACAATAAATTAAAAGTGACGCCTGCCTTAATTTAAAATTGCCTAAGATCATATAAAAAAATCAACAAAAAACACTGTGATTGAAACCACATCTCAAAATTTGCCAGGTTTGACTCTATCCCTTTCATATATGTTTATGACATCTGTCACCTCGATCTATTATTTAAACACTTTTTATGCATTGCTGAGTTATGAAGTATGTTTGTGATAACTATACTTCTGAATTTGAAAGCTCAAGATGTGAATGCTATGTATCTTGCTTTCCTTGTCAATATATAAATCTGAACAGAAACTAGATAACCAGATCACAATATTCTTTTAAACTATGATACCAGACGGGCTGTGCCTTTAGAAAAACAATACAATTAAAGGACCAGAATTTGGAAGCTCTTGGTAAACAAAATAAACATCACTTCAATGAAACTCATACATAACATGAAACTAACGTTTCTTTAATTGGTTTTTGAAAAATATAACTTATAAAAATATAACTTAGACCATATATTAATGGACCATGTCCAAAAGTAGTCTAAACGGCAGTTGCTGTTAGACAGACACAGCCTCAAACTGCCAGGGGATTGGGTTTTATCTGTCAGCATAAAAACACCTACCATGGATTAGATAAAGGGGGATGGGACAGGTAGCAATACAGGACTCCTCTCTTCACATACAAACACAAACACATACACACATGGCAAATAGTAAAAGTTAAGTAAGTGCCATGGCGTCTTTGGGCTCACCATAGAGCTGGATGTGATTTTGGGAAGTGACTGGAAGAAGCCTTTTGGCTTCTAGGAGGGAAATAAAACTATCCCAACTGATAGTCATATTTTTCCCTTCTGAATATATTTAGGAATACAAACAATATGTTTTAAGAGGCAGCTTCAGCCGGCCACGGTAGCTTGGTTCACGCCTATAATCCCAGCACTTTGAGAAGCTGACGTGGGTGCATCACCTGAGGTCAGGAGTTCGAGATCAGCCTGGCCAACGTGATGAAACCCTGTCTTTACTAAAAATGCAAAAATTAGCCAGGCATGGTGGCAGATGCCTGTAATCCCAGCTACTAGGGAGGCTGAAGCACGAGAATTGCTTGAACCCGGAAGGCAGAGGTTGCAGTGAGCCAAGATCGCATCACTGCACTCCAGCCTGCGCAACAGAGCGAGACTCCATCTCAAAAAAAGAAAAAAGAAAGAGGTAGCTCCTGCTCCTCTGAAAATGTGGCTTCTCATCTTGGACATTCCATATAGCAAATGAGTCTATTAAATGTATCCTAAAATCTTTCAGTGATCTGGAATGTATAAGCCTGTCTTATAAAGTTGTAATGTTTCCATTCCAACAAAGTAGGCTGCCTGTTTTGGGACACTGACCAATCTCATCATTGCATCATTTCCTATAGAATCAATTTGTATTATTGTGTATGGAGGTACAGATTGGCATTGATTCAAAGTACTGAAATTAGATGAGCCCTAAAAGAAACTAAGCTTGTTGGCAGGCCAGAATTTGAGCTGAAGTGGAAATTACAAAATATAGCAATTAACCATTACTCCTCAGTTACTGTTGCGGCTTAGGACATGCTACTGCAAAATATGGCACCTTGACAGATGGAAAATTTTAAGCTGAAGAAATTTGAGAAACAGTATTTGCATGAAGGTCTCCCTGACCTTCCCCTGCTTTTCTCCACTAAAACAGGTCATAAAACCTAGGAAGGATTTTCTGACCCTCCCCTAATGCAGGCCATAAAACCCTCATGTGAGAGATGCTCTCTCTATACCTGGAGGAAAAGAGCAGCCTTATCTCTGAAGACACAGGATCACAAAGAAAAATCTGAACAAACGGGTGTTGCTAAGTTCTCCCCTAGTTTATTATCATTAGATCATACCCCCTTTGTCCAATTATATTTCTCCATGACTGTCCACTCTACATCAAACCTACTACAGTATAAAAAGCTCTACAGTTTAGCTGCTTCTTTGGGTCTTAATTTCCTCATGAAGGCTCCCATATCACACAAAGCTTACATTTAAAACATATGTGTGATTTTCTCTCGTTAATCTGTGTTTCGTTATAGGGGCCCCAGTCAATGAACCTTAGATGAGAAGGGAAAGATATGCTTTCTCCTCCATACTGTCCAATTCTCAGACCTTAAGTGGGTGGAGGCAAAGGTGAAAATCTGAGATCTAAAATTTTTTTGTATCAGCAGAAAAGTTGTATTCCTTTTAAAGGCACATCCAAGGCCTTAACAGACAGCCACAAATCAAAGTAGGCATTTAAAGCATTAGATAGTAAGGCACAAGATATACAATGGGGGAAAATGCTTCACCATCGGAAGCGAACAGCAAACTTGGCTGCATCGACAGCTGAGCTCTGCAAGTGCTGGGGGGTGTGGCTGAGAGTAACAGCATGTTTGCAGAACTAAAAGAAATGTTTCTCAGCTATTCCTACATGCAGGAACAAAACCAAATGCAAGACACCACATTCAGAATTCTCAACCCTCTTTCCGTTAGCTGTGCTTTGAGCCAAAGGATTAGCTTTTGCAGTAACCAAAATTGATGGTTCAGATGGCTGAAATGACCACAAAAAAAGATTTGGAGAGACTTAACTGCAAAGCTTTTACTGATGCACATGTTCCCAGATATACACATTTTGCAACCACAGAATGAGACAGGTTCTACAAAGAAAAAGGGAGGTGTTAATGAGAATTGCTTCTTTATCAAATGGTCTTCACCTATTCAATATTGCAAAGAATTTATAACAAGCTAAACTCCTGTGCTTGTCCAGAACATTTCAGACTTACTTCTGAGAACATCTCTCCTTTTTGTTACTCTGCAACTTTCTAATGCTATCTTAGTAATAAAGATAATATTCTAAAGGAAAAATAAAAGACTATTTCCAAATGATTTGGAAATAAAAGGTCAGTTTTAAAATCTGAATTTATCAAAGTATACCATAATATATAATCTGCTGACCAACATGCCATTAATCTCTTAAATCTAAATAACATGAATTTCTGTTTTACTCCTAACTCATAAAACCATAAGGAACCCCACGGACTGGCATTCATTTTTTCAATAGCCAAAGCTTCAAATGGGACAGGCACTTTACTTTGTTCTGGGATGTGGATTTGTGGGCAGATGACAAGGTGCTAATGAGGAGCTAATGTCCCTGCAGCTGGCTAACTGCCAACCTCAGGATGGGAGGATTAGAGCATTTGTCTGCATTAGCCCTGTACAAAGGAGGGAGGGGCTAGGGGAAAGCCAACTCCAGGTTGAATAACTTGACTCACATTTGATCTTGTGTCCCATTCCAAAGGTAAGGGGCTATTTGAGGATAATTATGCACTTCTCCTAGGTGGCATGGCTAGTTCTCATGTGGATACACTTGACTTGGTTCTCATTGTGAAATAAATTAGTTAGAATAGGCAAGTTCAGAACCTGTCCCACCTCATCACCAACTCAGGATATAATCATATTAATGAGGAACCAGGTGAAACTTCTTGTCTACGTTAGATTCATTCGCCATGAATGTAAAGTTAGTTTATACAAGTGTCTAACTAGATCACTTCTTGAATTCAAATTTTATTTTTAAAGACAAGGGCGCTTTATTTTCTAATTTTGCCATCAAAAATTCATATCATGAGTTTTGGTTGATTGGAAAAAATCCCCAGAGAGACTTGAAATTTCAATAGAATCATACTGCCTGAGCAGAATACAGCCGAGGTTCTTCCACCTGGCCACTTCCATCCAAGTCTCCCCAACATTCATTTCAATAACAATTATCCCTCTTACATTTTAAAATCTCATGGATATGCTTATTAATGTAGATTTTCACTTACATAAAAACATAAAGAAGGTAAATTTGAATGGAAATGCAGGTTTGAAGGGATAAAACAAATACGCTTTTTTTTTTCCTGGAAATTGTAAAAAAATAAAAGCTTGATACATGAAAATAAGCATTATTAACAGGCGAAAAAATAATCCTAAACTGAATACACAGTAAGTTACATCCCATAATTTTAATTTTAAGGCATTTCATCTTTTATAAAGACATATGAATATGTGTTTATAGTATTTATTTTTAGATATGTAGTCTATATAAGTTCATTTTTACGTACATAGCGGTGATTTGAATTCCCTGCATGATTTGATAAGGATCATGGTATATATGCTCCAAGCCACACGCACACACAGAGTCCGTGATCCTGCAATAATCTGCATCATGTCTATTGCAGTGGACTTCAAACTGTAATTCTGAATTCCACCCTTGCCCTATTATTTCCCCACAGCAGCCAGTTGGACCTTATTTTTATTTATTTATTTTTTTTTTAGAGGGGGTCTCGCTCTGTCGCCCAGGCTGGAGTGCAGTGGTGCGATCTTGGCTCACTGCAAGTTCCGCCTCCCGGGTTCACGCCATTCTTCTGCCTCATCCTCCCAAGTAGCTGGGACTACAGGCACCCGCGACCACGCCTGGCTAATTTGGACCTTCTTATGAAATAAATCAGAAATCAGATTACATCCCAACCTTGCAAGATCTGTCCCTGACCCACTTCCCCAAGCTCATTCTTCCTGATCTCCACGCTACTCACCAAGCTTCAACTCCCCTTTCTGTTCTTCAAAGGAGGACAAACAGTGTCCACTTCAGGACTTTCAGAAGGGCTGTACGGTGTGCCTGGACTGTTCACCTTCCCATTGTCAACCTAGTTGGTTCTTTTTCATCTTTCAGATCTAAGCTTAATTGTCTGCTTCCATCACTCTGTCAAAAGCACATTTCTTTTTGCAGTTCTCTAGTTTAAAACTCTATTTTACCATTCACAACACCCACAACATTTACTTCTTTCACAGCTGTTTTATTTGGTTTTGTTTGCCCGATTTCTTCCCTACTAGGACCACCTGAGTCTTTCTGGATGCTGCATCCCCAGGGCCTGACATGATGACTGCACTCAGTAGGTATTCAATAACTATTTGTTCAATGATTGAATGTGAGATGTTGAGTAAGGCCTAAAATATTTTAAGATGTAAATTTTAAGTCTGATGTCATTTACAAACACAAACTTTTTTCTAGAAGTTGAAGATTAACTGAGCTTTAAACAAAAGAAAAATGTTATTCAGCGTGACTTCATACAGATCAATTCTAGTTTCTTTCTTTTTCTTTTTCTTTTTTTTTGTTTCTCTTTTTTTTTTTTTTTTTTTTTTTGAGACGGAGTTTCGCTCTTGTTGCCCAGGCTGGAGTGCAATGGCAGGATCTCAGCTCACTACAACCTCCATCTTCCGGGTTCAAGCGATTCTCCTGCTTCAGTCTCCGTAGTAGCTGGGATTATAGGCATGCGCCAACACTCCCGGCTAATTTTGTAATTTTTTTTAGTAGAGATGGGGTTTCTCCAAATTGGTCAGGCTGGTCTTGAACTCCCTACCTCAGGTGATCCACCCACCTCGGCCTCCCAAAGTGCTGGGATTACAGGCATGAGCCACTGCACCTGGTCTCTACTTTATTTCTATACTGGCACCCAGAGCATCCTACAGGGGACTCTTCAGGCTTCTGAGAGAGATTGGTAAAACTGTTATGAACCGAACACCCTACAAAAGCACTGGTATTCATTCATTTCACCTCCACATTCTAGGTGAGTTAATGGAAGTGCTGAGTAGATATATGTATAACTGTCCAGGAATGTATAACATGCAGCCAGGAAATGGAACAGTGAGGGTTGAATCCAGACTCCAGCTGCAGAGACCATGCTCGTAACTGCCACAAGATGCTATCACCTGCATTTCTGAGTGCATAGTGGCCACCTGTGACAAACTGCCTCAGGGCCATAGGCTCTCATTCCATATGGAAATATAAACAAGAGAGGACAAAAAAAAGAGAAGGACTTACAGAATCATGGCATAGTTACAGTTTGGGGTGGCTGGTTCCCCCATTCCTCTTTTAAGTGGATTTACGTTATAAATTCTGAGCCAGGCATGGTGGCTCATGCCTATAATCCCAGCACTTCCGGAGGCCAAGGTGTGGAGATTACTTGAGCTCAGGAGTTTGAGACCAGCCTGTGCAACACAGGGAGACCCCAGCTCTACAAAAAATTTTTAAAAAATTAGCTGGGCATGTTGGCCTGTACCTGTAGTCCCAGCTACTCAAGAAGTTGAAGTGAGAGGATTGCTTGGAGATCGAGGCTGAAGTGAGCTATGATCATACCACTGCACTCCAGCCTGGGTGACAGAGTGAAACCCTGTCTCAAAATTAAAAAAAAAAAAAAAAAGAAGAAGAAGAAGAAGAGGAGAAAAATAAATTATAAGAACCTTCTCACCGTCTTACCAGAATGCATGAAAAAAACTGGTATGCTCATAATCCTGAATAATCCAGTTTTTGCACCTTATCTTTGTTTTCCTCTGACCCTGGCTTTACTTGAGCACTCACAGCTCTTCCTCTTTTCTTATTTCTTAAAGATGCATCAACAAAATGACAACTGATCAGTCAGGTCACTACTATGGACCATATCCAAGGAAACTGCAAGTATGTACTAGATGGAGGAGAAATAATATGAGAACAATTGCCCATGGGGCAACATGGACATCTCTGAATGTTTGTGTAAGTGTAAGAGTGTGTGTGTGTGTGTGTGTGTGATTTCTAGAAGATGGCTGATACCAGTTGAGGAAATAACCTTAACAAGGACATATCATTAAGGGAAGAAACTATCAACAGATTTCTGAAGGTCAAAGAGTGCTTGTGGTAAATCAATACTTCACATCTTGAAGACAAAGGCAGGTGTGATCCCACATGAAGACTGCACAATATTAACCAGATTACCAGCTGAAGGGCATGAATTGAGTCAGCAGGAATTTTGTGAAGGCAGAGATAGACTGGCCCCGTAAGGATGCCAGAAACTGGTAGGATAAAAGCATGAGAGAAAGCAGCAATACCTCAAGAAAAATACTTTTTTCCAATGCGGTTGCTGGCTCTCCTGGTTTTGCTATCAGAATCTGATAAACAATGAATGTAGGCTCCAAAGATAAGTATCTGGGTGAGTGTGGGTAATATCTAAGTTAAATGATGCCAATTAGTGCCTTATTTCATATACCATTTAAATGATAGTAGTATCATTTTACCCTTGACCCTAAAGTTGATCCCTTTAGCAGAAATCCACAAACGTTTTCTTAAAAGGCCAGACTGTACTTATTTTTGGACTGCTATTTTGATACAAAAGCAACTGTAATGCAGTAAAGCAGACCCCCTCCCCGCTAAAAAATGGTAGAGAAAATAGGAATAAATGGGTGTGGCTGTGTTCCAATAAAACTTTACTTTTTTTTTTTTTTGAGATGGAGTTTTGCTCTTGTTGCCCAGGCTAGAGTGCAACAGCCTGATCTCGGCTCACCACAACCTCCACTTCCCGGTCTCAAGCAGTTCTCCTGCCTCAGCCTCCCAAGTAGCTGGGATTACAGGCATGTGCCACTATGCCCGGCTAACTTTTTTTTTGTATTTTTAGTAGAGAGGGGGTTTCTCCATGTTGGTCAGGCTGGTCTCAAACTGCCGACCTCAGGTGATCCGCCTGCCTCGGCCTCCCAAACTGCTGGGATTACAGGCGTGAGCCACTGGGCCCGGCCAAAACTTTACTTTTTGACACTGAAATTTGAATGTCATATCATTTTCATGGGTCACAAAATACTATTCTTTTGTTTGTTTGTACACAGGGTCACCCTCTGTCGCCTGGGCTGGAGTGCAGTGGTACAATCACAGCTCACTGCAGCCCAACTCCTGGGCTCAAGACATCCTCCTGCCTCAGCCCTGTCAGTAGCAAGGGCTACAGGCACCTGCCACCACGCCTGGCTAATTTTTTTTTTTCTTTGAAGAGATAGGGTCTCACTGTGTTGCCCAGGCTGGTTTCAAACACCTGGCTTCAAACAGTCCTTCCACCTTGGCCTTCCAAAGTGCTGGGATTATAGGCATGAACCACCACACACAGACTCCTTTTGATTTTTCTGTTTCAATTATTTAAAAATGTAAAAAGCCATGGCCGGGCGCAGCAGCTCATGCCTGTAATCCCAGCACTTTGGGAGGCCGAGGCAGGCAGATCAAGAGGTCAGGAGATCGAGATCATCCTGGCTAATACAGTGAAATCCCAAACCCCGTCTCTACTAAAAAAATTAGCCGGGCATGGTGGCACGCACCTGTGGTTCCAGCTACTTGGGAGACTGAGGCAGAAGAATCACTTGAACCCAGGAGGCGGAGGTTGCAGTGAGCCGAGATGACGCCACCTTACTCCAGACTGGGTGACAAAAAAAAAATGTAAAAAGCCATTCTTAGCTCATAGATTATACAAAGATAGGCAAAAGACCAGATTTGGCCCAGGGGCCATAGTTTGTCAACCTCTCCTATTACAAAACAAAACCAAAAACAAACCAAACAAACAATTCTAAGATGAACTTTTAAAAGGAGGTTAAGTCTCTTGGAACGTCAGATGTTTTCAAATGAATAAACCTGTTCTTTATATTTGCATGTCATTTCAAAACGTTTTATCCAGTTTTCTTCAAAACTGCAGAAAAGTGCACAGCTTGATGAATTTTCTCAAACGAAACACAATCATATGATCGGCACCCAGATCAAGAAACAGAACATTAATAGCACCAAGAATCTCCCCTTCTTCTCTTCATCTCTTCATCTGTCAATCACCACCACACCCACTCCAAGAGTAGCCACTACCCTGACTTGTAAGAGCACAGGGTAGTATAGTTGTTTTTTCGTTTTTTGGTGCGGTAGTTGTATTAGTCTATTTTCATACTGCTATGAAGAAATACCCAAGACTGGGTAATTTATAAAGAAAAAGAGGTTTAACGGACTCACAGTTCCACATGGCTGGGGAGGCCTCACAATCATGGCGGAGGGTGAAGGAGGAGCAAACGTACCTCTTAGCTGGCAGCAGGCAAGAGAGCATGTGCAGGGGAACTGCCCTTTACAAAACCATCAGATGTCGTGAGACTTATTCACTATCAAGAGAACAGCATGGGAAAAACCCACCCCCATGGTTCAATTACCTCCCACCGGGTCCCTCCCATGACACATGGGGATTATTATAATTCAAGGTGAGATTTAGGTAGAGGCATAGAGCCAAACCATATTAGTAGTTTACTTTTAAAAAATGTTGTAGGATAAAATTTTGTTATATAATAAAAAGGAAATTAGCTGCTAGGACTGAAATTCGTATTTTTTAAACCATATAATCATAGACTCTAGAAATGGAAGAGATTTTAGAGAACATCCATATTTACACCTTCATGTTACATCCGATTCCCATAGTAACATAACTAATATATGTATAATTCAATTGTCTATCCAAATAGTAGTTAGATATGCATTACATACAAGTATATGTGGTAAAAATCTATATATCAATAATATTTGCATCAATAATGTTGACAATAAACAAAATAATAAATTAAATTTCTGGTTATGTTATTATTATCAAAGCTAATACCTCCCTCATTTTCATCACATAATTGACAGGGCTTTGAATTTTTTTGTTACAGTGAATATCTAGGAGAGGCCAGTACTTTCCACTATTGGCACTGCTAATAAAGAGGAAGGCCTTCAATTCACAAATGATTAGCTTTCATGACAAGGTACAAACTCAATAACATTTAATGATTTTATCAACTATTTGCTACATATATCAAGGAATGTCCAAGTTTTAGCTGTAAAAGCAACTAAATATAAAGTAACACTTTGCTGATTTTATAGAGGTTACAATGGAAACTTTTTTATAGTAGTCTAAAAAGACTGGGCATTTCAACAATTTGATAACAGAACACAGATTTTAAAAGTATGTTCTGCATTCCCAAACTCCAACATAAACATAGGGGCAAAGTTATATAAAAGATAATATACCTGAGGCAGTTTTTTAACACTATTTTATACAATCTCCTATGCAATACCTTCTTTCTCCTCTACCCCACTTCAAACTCCATGAATGTTTTTACCAGAAAGGTATTTTATGCTAACAGGATCTTAAAATGTTTGTTTTATGGAGAAAAATTAAAATGTGTTATCACTTAAGTGTGAGTACTAATGTGCAATTTATCTTGAAACAACTCACTAGTATATTTAAGAATAAAAATAGACTAATTCTAAAGATTTAAATGGGATTGGATAATCCTGCACAGAGCCATTCTGGTCTCTGCTTTGCTATTAGTCTGCCTTGTGACCTTGACCCATGTCAAATTACCTTAAACTTCAGCTTCCTCATCTAAAATGTGATATTGTGGAGTTTCTTTTTAGCTCTAAAAATATACTTTAGTTATTATTGTAAAAACATTAACCTAATTAATGTCCAGGCAAAAGAATTCTCTTTTCCTGAAATGCCAGAATACAGCATATTTAAGAAAGGATTAAAGTTTAAAAACAATTTCTTGCAATGTTGTGAATTTCTCTAATAGTTCAGAGGCTAAATGTCAAAACATTTCAATATTCAGAAATGGATGGTTTAAATAATAAGAATATACTCTCCAAACAGGCAGTTAAACTTTCTAAATGCTGGCCAAAAAACTTGATCAACTCTACATCATTTAAAAGTGAGACTTCTGTGGCTAGCCCATACTGCTTAGTATAAATTCAAGCCAATTTAAAGCACGGTAACAATGTGGGCAGTCTCAGACTATTACTTTCAATGGATTGAGTCCCTAAGGATGGCAACGACTGAGTCCCATTGAAAGTAATGGAGTAAGCAATCACATGCCGTTACTTTCAAGGAGACACAGTCTCCACTATCCATAATAACATGGTAATATAAATCTGCACTGACTCATCAGCATGAAGAATGAAAATGTAAAAGAATTTCAAAGCTGCAATTGTGCACCCTGAACCAAAAAAAAAAAAAAAAACCCTCTGGCTCTCTTGTACTCATAATTGATCATAAGTTGAAACATATTTTAGTGAAGATAGAAAGGTCCAAGAACCCAGGTTAAGGCAATGTGAACCCCAGGGATAGACTCTTGTCTTTCTCACATTTTCTTTTGAGCAATGGTTGGCATGCTGTTAACTGTTATCTGTACTTATATACCTATATCTGGGCCTTTTCCAATCCCACTTTGTTATTTAGGTATTAATAACTCAGAGAAGAACAGTTTTTTTGCCCTAAGAACCACAGTTGGTCAAATTTATTAAAAATGATCTTTTCCCTTCTGTCTTAGTGTGTGTTGATTTCCCTAATAGGTGGAAAAATGCAATCTTGATTTCTTTCCATACTGACATGTGGGTAAAATTCCAAGAAAACCTATGTCTCAGAAGACAGTTTGCCAAATTTTCTTCACCTCATTTCTTTTTACTGAATACTAGTTTTGAGCAAGAAGATGTTTGCTTACCTGCTCTTCTGAATCTGCCCTCAATCCTACTATCTCTACTACTAAAAACAATATGAACAAGATATTGGACCTACTGTAGATTAAGTGTAGTTGAGTGTCCCTGTTAATGGAATGATCAAGATAATCACAAATACTTGCAAAGGTGTAGTTAAATGTGTAAGAGTATATGTTTGACATTTAGCTTCAAGATGAGGAAAAATGCCCTGATTGTAACACTTGCCAGTTTTCATGGTGTAAATATTCCCATCATGGCTGACTTCAGGTTACCAAGATGATGATACTAAATGTAGAGGATAGGAAATAGCACATCATTATATAGCATTTTCACGGTAAAGATAGAATAGATGTGAATGAACTCAAAATTATAAAGAAAAGTAAAGGTTTATAAGGTAATAAGTGATAAGTTTTGCACATATGTTACATTTATTTTAAATATAGTTAATTTGCCGGTCATAGTGGCTCATGCCTATAATCCCAGAACTTTGGGAGGCTGAGGTGGGAGGATTGCTTGAGCCCAGGAGTTTGAGGCTGCAGTGGGCTATGATCACACCACTACACTACAGCCTAGGTGACAGAACAAGACCCCATCTTTATAATTTTTATATATATATATATTATATATATATAAACCGAATTGAATTGTAAGTGTAAAATTTTAATTGTTAATAATGGCTGTGTTTAATAATGGGCTTGCAAAATTACTGACAATTTAACAATTGTTTCTTGTGAGCAAATACTGGCCGGCTCCAGCACACCACTGTGTATTTTTCCCTGTAAGTTACAGCAGTCAAGTTCACATCATGTCAAGGATCACCAAGAACTTGCAAATAAATGAGGACTTTCCCAGGTTCCTCTCAGCTCCCCTTTGCTGCTTGTGTGCCCCTGGTTTGTTTTTAACTTTGAACTTTCCTTTTGCTTTTGCTGGGTTGTTCCTTCAACTCATTCCCCAAAACTGAGAGAAAAAAATTGTTCCTTTCAGCAACAATTATTGATGCATTTCTTGCTTCTGTCATCCACCTTCCTTCATTGTGTCCATATGTGGCTCAGCTACCTATACCACCAGAACTTCCAATGCCCAGTTCCCCATCTTCTATCTGCATTCTGCTGGATCCTTTCAAATTACCACTCTTTATTGAACCACGTACATTAATTTTTAAAACCATGCCTTGCAATTTCCTTATGCTGATCAAATTCTGGCTCCCTCTGGCAATGCCACCATAGCCCAAAAGCCTAAACAATAAAAGTCAGTGTCTCTCAAAAATGGGCAGCTCTTAGAGAAAAATTTTAAATGAAAAATATTTTCATTATAAAATTAATGTAGGGTCTGTGAAGTGGGGAAAGCATTAGTTTTCCATTTTAACCTGGGAATACTATGTTGTTTTTCACAGGGTGTCAGTGTTCTACAAAATATAGGGTACGCCATAACTTAACCTCTAAAACAGCACACAAGGCTCTCAAAGAAACTGCCACCAAAGAGTCAATTTCTAAAAATTAAAAGTATAAAATCAGACTTCAGATATATTATCCAAAGTATTTTCTAGAATATATGTCTATAGTCACTTAATAAGTGCTTATTGATTTATATTACAAAATTATTTTGCAACATATAGAATGTTCTGAAATAGAGGAATCTGTGCCAATACAGATACTTTTAGAATCTTTAAGGCCACATATCACAAAATCAGGAGTCCTACAAAAAAATTTGAAAGTTAAAATCTCACTTATATCATGAAAAGAAAGCTTAACAATAAAAAGAAAACCTTTCATAAATTATTATTATTATTATAACAAAATCTCATTCTGAATAGAGACCATTCAGTTACTAGCCTAGAAACAATCCCCTCCCTTTTCCACTTAACTGTATCTCAATCTTTCCTCTATCAAAGATAATTCCCTTTGGTCACATTATTCTTGCCAGCAGTATTTTGGACATACTCTCTGGCATTAATCTATCCTTAATATTTATGTGTTTCAGAGAAGCCCAAAGAATACAATTAAATAATGGGAAATAATTTAAACTGTGTGTGCAAATTGTCATGAAGAAATGAAGAAATTGTGTCAAAACAGAATTTTCACATTATAATAAAAAAAAAGGAATGGTTTTGAATGCATACTGTCTTCTCCAAAAATATTTCAAGCCCACTAGACTGAAATTTGAAGATGTCACCATTGCTTGTGAAAACTCTTGAGGCAGAGAAACTATCCCATCCAGCACTTGAAAATAGATAAATATGCTCTTTTGAGGAATCTCATGAACATTTTTTAGGAGCTATTTTGGCTATGTCTACAAGAAGCAATGGTACTGGCACGAGACACTTTGTATTTATTTCCATACTCACGTACAACTCTAGAATTTTGCCTGGTTGTCATCTTACTTAAAACAGTCTCGGGAGTATAAACAATTTTCAACATGAAAGTACTAGCTAGGTGATAATATTAGCAACTAAGCATGAATAGGTTGAAACAAGCTTGATTAATTTACATTTTTAAACAAGTCTTCCTCCTTTTTTTCTTTATTTGCTCCATCTACAGCAGCCTCAATTTTTTTCTATTACATATAAACTTTTATATTTTTAAGAATTTGTTGGCCGGGTGTGGTGACTCACGCCTGTAATCCCAGACCATTGGGAGGCCGAGGTGGGTGGATCACAAGGTCAGGAGCTCAAGACCATCCTGGCTAACATGGTGAAACCCCATCTCTACTAAAAATACAAAAAAATTAGCCGGGCGTGGTGGCGGGTGCCCGTAGTCCCAGCTACTTGGGAAGCTGGGGCAGGAGGATGGCATGAATCCATGAGGCGGAGCTTGCAGTGAGCCGAGATCGTGTCACTGCACTCCAGCCTGGGCGACAAAGCGAGACTCCATCTCAAAAAAAAAAAAGAATTTGCCAATGAAAAGAAGGTAGTCATTTCCTAAAGTGTTCTGAACAGTACAATCAAAAGGAAATAATAACAATAAGTTAAAATTCTTCTTATAGCTCTTTTTAAAAGTTGTTTTATCTTACTAATACTGGTCAGAAAATAAAAACCTGTCAGTAAACAGTCACTTTTCAGTACTTTTTTCCCTGGCAGGTACACACATTTAACATCTATGAATTGAGGAAGAAGAATAAAGGAATAATGATAGAACAAGAAAGATAGAAAGACAGAGATTGAAGAATGGTTACAATAACATTTTAATTCAGTTCTTCCTAACTACAATCAAAACAAAAACAAGGAAAATTTGACAGTAGATTCTTATTTTAATGTGGTTTTGACATAGAGCTGGTGATCTCATGGGCAAGTATGGTACATCTAAAACATAATGCCCACATGTAACAGTTTAGTTTGTCTCTCAGATGAATGACAATATTATACAAAACCATGTTTACATTTGGTAGAAAAGTGCCAAAGAGTTTTGCTAAAGGAAGAGAGGAACCTGACTTAAATGTGGAAATCTGACAAAGTGCACCTAACCTGCAGAAACTCAGTTTGATATTTCAGAAAATTTGAAATTTAATATAGCTATTAAGCAATAGGTAAGATTTTCAAGGTAGGGATAAGTGGGAAGAAAATTATTTAATTTCTGTGGCCTTTCCTACCCGGAGCTTCTGTTTTGTTTGTTTTATGGTACATTGTTGTTTTAGTTCACCTCTCATAGCCTCCAATAGTCACCAGGCTTTCCTCTAGACGTTTTGAATGAGTTTTCTGTGTGCAATATTTTATTACAATTTACAAATGTTTTCCTATGTAAAGTCCCACTTTCTCTTAAAGGATTCTGCAAACAGAGAACTTTAGGAAGTCCTATAAAAGTTTGTTGATGGGTGTGGTGGCTTACACCTCTAATCCCAGCACTTTGGGAGGCCGAGGCGGGTGGATCACTTGAGGTCAGCCTGGCCAACATGGTGAAACCCTGTCTCTACTAAAAATACAAAAATTAAGCCGGGTGTGGTGGTGATGTATGCCTGTAATCCCAGCTACTCCAGAGGTTGAGGCAGGAGAATCACTTGAACCTCGAAAGTGGAGGTTGCAGTAAGCTGAGATTGTGCCACTGCACTCCAGCCTGGGCAAGAGTGAGACTCTGCCTCAAAAAAAAATAAATAAAAAGTTTGTCACAGGACAGACAGCCTAGTAAACTTTGCTATTGTAATGCTGCTCCTCTAATAAAGTGGCAACCACATTCTTTGAGAAATGACTGTAGTTCTTCTGTTGTGAATTCAATTACACAAATTATACAGACAAGTTTAACATTCTTTAAATGGAAACAGGGCGTTGAAGCCACAAAACAGCTTTTCACATGGTACACATATAAAACCTAACTCTAAATGCACTTAAGTCCCATTCTCAGTTTCTGCAAACTATCTTTCCCTGGAAAATTCAGGATTCTTTCAGTGGGTATCGCTGGAAACAAAATAATCATAAGGGCTTTTTTATGGTTTGTAAATTTTAAGACAAAAGATGGTAAATAAATCATACATACATTAAGAACGACTACCAGCCTGTAAAGGGGGATGCAGAATCACCTTAGATATATTACCCACAATGCTTTTCAGGACGGCAGCTAATTACCAGCAGAAAGGTCATGCAAAAAATAATGTGATTAGAAGAGGCTGAAGGGAAAAAATAGCCACATATTTGGACATAGACCAAATTCCCTTTTTGCCACTGTAACTGAAAACCATTGCTTCAATATTTAATGAAACGCTTATGCTGCAGCACCTGGTCACATTGTCAGCACTGCCTAACCACTGCCTCCCCCGTGGGTCATTACTGCAACCATCTGAAAGGGGGCAAACTGTTCATCGACGACAATAATGCCAGTCTTTAAGAATCTACAGCTACAAAACAGCAGGAGACAGAGTTACTTTGGCTTTGATCTTGGGAAAAATGGCTGGGGGCAAAATGCTGTTTCCTACCATCAGAGACTATACAGTTAGCAATAATTCTGTAAGTCAAAGCTATTCACAGGACTCAACTTGGCTGCCCTGCTTTGCTTTCTCTCTCCCCTTGCAGAAAGCTAGCAGCTCCTGGTGAGAGATCCTTGTCAACAGGAAAACACTAGTTCACGCTACCCTGCTAATGATCCAATGCATCAATACCTCAAACAATCACAACAAGCAGATGTCCTAAGTTAATATAGACTTCCCTGGGATTTTCCTAGTGAAACATGGCTTTAAAAGGCATTAGTCTTTTGTCCTCACTAGAGAACGGCTAAATCCTGGCACCAATTCCTTGGGTATGTGAACCTCAGCCTAATGGAATTTAATTACTTTAGTGGTATTAATCATCTGTACAGTAGAGCAAAGAGTATTTTATTACCACTTTTAAGGGTTATCGGCACATTTATTTCAAATGAACTGTCAAACTGCATTACGTGTAAGGCATGCCAGTTTTGAATTCTACAGCTCAGGTGAAAACAAATTTACAGTTTAAAACTCTCCTCCACCATCAACATCCCACCCATTCATAGTAGCAGCACACATGTAAGGCTCTCAAAATTAAAAGAAATTAAGTGTTGAATTAGCTATTCATTTTTTACTCTCTGGTTTTATTCCTTATTCCAACCATTTTGACTACTCATTTGCAAAGGTTGCTTTATACCAAGGACCCCAGGAACACCAATTGGCATCAAATAGGCTGTGACACCATTACAGGCTTAGTTACAGAAAAGTGAGGCTAGTCTTGTCCATTATCAGGCAACAAGCACCAGCTCAATAATATAAGATTCCTCCAATTCACACCATGTAGCAACTGCTTTTGTTTTTGTTCATATTCAGGGAAAATGAATGTGTGCTTTTCTCTTCTCTTGGTTGTTTTTAGCCCAATCTGAATTGTTCTATAAAGAACTCTAAGAAACTCTTGCATCATTTATAAAGCTCTCCTCCTGTGCTAAATAGATTCAACAGTGGATTGCAAGATGCCAGACTCAGGTTAATTCTATAGACTTCACTAAACTTTCTGTTTGTCATAAAGCATTTCTACAGAATTTTGGGTAGCCAAGTAGAAGAGTTAGAATCAGAAAAATGCAGGACAAAGTCCTACACACTTGGTGGGAAAGCTCTCTAGGGCTCTGGAATCAGATTGCCTCGGTTTTAATCCCCCTAGAATTACTTATGATCTTCTCAATAAATTCCTTCACCTCCTCAGTTCCCTCATCTGTAAAATGGGAACAGAAGTACAGGTTTATGTTAAGGTTCAAAGACAATGATCCATATACAAATAAAATAATCCTAGCACAATTTCTGAGGTATCATGGGCTCTGTTATATTGTCATTCTGATTGTAAGGAGAATACATGATATTTGAAAAGCCATATAACCCACCTTCTCATATGGTTCAGTGTCGGCGTTGAACAGATTCCATATAAATTGCAGTGACTTCTAAGACATCTTCATTTGTTTCCCTTCCCCAACCCACCCCTCCTCCACTGAAGTCCTTAAAGTCCCCGACCTGTTCCACATCCACCTGTTTAAGGCATTTTCCACTCATCTCATTTCAGAGACATTCTGCAGTGAGAAGCAAATGAGAGCAATTTGTGACATGAGATACCGCATGTGCAAAAGACACATAATTAGTGTCAAAATGGATGCATTTGCTTTTTAAAGTCTATTTGTCCTGTGATTTCAAATGAATCAAGCTGCTATATCTCTCTCAACAGCTTCATACTACTCCATAATGAATTAAATGGCTCCTGTGAAAAAACAGTGTAAGCTTTATGAATAAAATGCTTTTTCAAATGTTGGGATAAGAAGGACTTAAAAAGACTCTTATGTCTAGTACCCCTTAGTTTAAAGATCTTCTCCAAACTCAGAATCTTTGAAAGAAAAGCATTCTCCAAGAAAGAAAAAAAACAAACAAACAAAAAAAAAAACACTTTTTTTCATCTTTCCAAACGTTATAATTACCAGTGAGGGGTAGAAAAAAATCTACAGTATTCAGCAAAGGCAGAATAGGACCCTGAATTTCCCTACCCCTGCTTAGTACTCTGATGTCCTAAACATGCAATCAAGGCCCCAAATTCTTTTCAAAGACATTTCATAAGAGAGGAAAGAAAGTTCCATTCGAAGCTCTAAATGCTTAGATGCTACTATTCATGTGCTCTATTTCTCTCTCTTTCTTTTGTGAATACCTTTGTTTGGTATTTAAATAATATACCCTCTGAGTCCATTCTCTTAACTCTACTTTCAAATAAGCTTGGTTCCTCTAAGCTTCCCAAACCTTGGTCTTTACTAATCTTTTTTGGAAAAAATAAACAAAAAATGTTTGCACCTGAATAACAGTAGTCTCTGGAAAAGGCAGAAAATCACTTAAATGTTTGGAAGACCAAAACTACAAGTGATTAAAGTAGAGAATATTAATGAATAGCTTAATTCAGATTATTTACAAAGTCCAATTTCTAGTAATGAGTAATTTCAATTTCTTGAAATATGAATATTTCAAGAGGAAGTTAAAATTAGTGCTAGGTTTATGGGACTAATCTTTTCCTATTTGAGTATGTAAAAAATAAATAAAGATAAAGAAAGTCCCAGATTCCATGCAGTGTTCCATGAGAGTCACGTTTTTTTCCTCATTGTCACTTGTATTATAAAAAATAATATCATTGTGAATCCTGAAAAATAGACTCATAGTGAAAGGCCTAGAATTGAATCCTCGTTCCTTTTCATTCTTTCAACTATAAACTCTGTTTCTTCATTTCTGAAATGAAGATAATGTTAATCATTTTAAGAAGCACATGAGGATAAATGAGATAAAATTTATATGCCAAGTTAAAGTACATAAATCCAACATTTTATAAAATGACAAGTATATTAAAAGAAAAAGAAAATAATTTCATTTCTTTTCTTAGAGGAAGCCCCAGACTTCACAATAGTGAGCTCAGCCATTATTTCTAGGTAATAGGCACAAAGTTTCCTTGGTAGTGAAAAAGGCTTTTATATAATCTACATGTTCCAGCCTGGAATTCCTTTCTGGTAATATGTATGTTCTCTTTCTATACTGAGAAAACACATAATGCAATTTATTTTGTTAATTAGGAAAAAAGGATGAGAGACCTTATTTTACACTTTTGTGTCACCATAAATGCACATAAACTTACAATAAATGTTACATGTTGATTGGGACCAAGGCCCAGGGTAAATACACAACCTGGAAAAGAATAAGACCACTAGCCTAGAAGTTCTGCTTCCATCACTGATGTTCCCATTCAGATCTTTTAAATCTGCAACGCTTTTCTGACCAATCCAGATAACTAGTTTTAAGTGTATCGTTCCAAACTTCAGCTAATACATTAAGTTGCTAATTATTTTATTATAAATATCAGTCGCCCAATGTCCTTTATTGTGATGTTTTGAAAAAAAAAAGTGACTTCCTGCTTATTAAAACTTATTTGGGAGAAATAAATTATCTTTCTGTGAATTAATCCCCAATTTACTCCTTTTTCCACATTCCTCTGATATTTTCATTCTCTGCTTGACATGTCTTAAGGTGCACTGACTGAAATTAGACTCGGTATTCTGGATGAAAGTATATCATTATTTGATATCACATCAACTTAATATTTCCATATTATTTTCTCCCTTTTTTAATGCACCCTGGAGTCCTATTTGCCTTCCTAACTGCCTCTGTGTGATGAGGAGACTTCATTGGGCTTTCCAAGATGACTTCTAATTCATTTAAACAGCACATACTATTTTAATCATATCTGTTTTCACAGATACCACATATTTTTATGAACTGTTCTTTTGCTAACTTTAGCTTTCTTTTATGTGAAATGTTCTAGATCAGATAAGTAATACAGTATTCAAAGATATAATGATAAAAAGTTATGTTAGCTCAGTGGCAAAAAAATTGATGCTTCAAATATAATGTTAATTATTTCTACAAATATGTGAGAGCTCCATTAAAAGATTTTCATATGAGTGAATATTGAAATATTTAACACTTATGAAAGAGATTTATGTGCCTCTCTTGTTTTTCGAAGTGTCTTTGCCATTTTACTAATTAACCAAAGATATCTGTGTTTAGACACATTTTATATCCATCACAGCCTATGCTCTTTCTACATTACTTTTTCCTGCAGTAAAATTAAAGCATTCAGTTCTACACACTAATCTTCTTCTAGGTAACAGATTGCAATATTTTGAATACAAAAGTATGAGACAGGAAAATGGGACTTTTGGGCTCTCATCCCAGATCTTCCGCCCAATGTGTGCTGTGCTCCTGGATATATACTGCCTTCTCAGTTTGCCTCAGTTAACTTGTTCAGAGAACGGATGTTGCAGTTTTAAGTGTCTTGCAGGACATCACAATTTTCATGTTTTTTTAAAATGTGATTCCTGGTTATTTTCCCCCAGATTGTATTTGAGTATTCCTAATCACATCTCTCTATACTTGGCTAAAATTATGACTGGTGAAAATGTGTCCCATGCCATAGTCTCAGACTTAAGTTTTGTGGCTGAACTCTATTGCTAAACCATTTCTAGTACTTTCTAACGAATTTCAGTTTTCAAAGCGTATTCATTGCTGCAAAATTAAAAGAAGGTATTTTGTTCCCCATACTCATACTTTTCATGATCCCAAAGCCTTTCTTTTCAAATTTTATCCTGTTTTATTTGGAAAGAAGTAACATTTTGTCACTTCTTTAAAGCAACAGTTTAATGACATCCTACTTTTGCCCTGCCAGCATGCGTATCACACACTTTCAGATAAAATGTGTTCAGGACATTGAAAAAAAAAAAAAAAAAAGCTCTATCAGTGGTCTCAGTACAATTCTATTAGTGGTCCCAGTAAAGCATAATTAGTAAAATAAAGATATATGCATATACTTAGATATAATGTATTAGATATAAATTTCTATTACATTATTTTTTCAAATAGTTACTGTGTTCCCTTGAATCACCCGAACTGCATATTAATTTAGTTACTCATTGAAAAATGTGGTGACTCTTTTTTTTTTTTTTTTTTTTGAGATGGAGTTTTGCTCTTGTCGCCCAGGCTGGAGTGGAATGGTGTGATCTCAGCTCACTGCAACCTCTGTCTCCTGGGTTCAAGCAATTCTCCTGCCTCAGCTTCTCAAGTAGCTGGGATTACAAGCTCCCACCACCAAGCCTATCTAATTTTTGTATTTTTAGTAAAGACGAGGTTTCGCCATGTTGGCCAGGCTGGTTTCAAACTCCTAACCTCAGGTGATCCACCTGCCTCGGCCTCCCAAAGTGCTGTGATTACAGGCATGAGCCACCACACCCAGCCTGTGACTCATTTTTATAAAGAGAAATAAAACAGAAAAGAGAGTGGATACAGGGATTGAAACAAGAATAGCACATTGTAGATACCTTATAAATATTGCTGACTCATTCATGTAGTTCATTCTATAGATATTTATGAGTATTTATTATGTACCAAGCACTATATCTTTTAGCTGGGGCTATAACAGTGAACAAAACAGGAAAAATCTCTTCTCTCACAGAGCTTACAAACAAACAAGAAATACGAACTGGCTTCCCTGACTACCCTAGGCACTGGCAGTTTTTGTCGGTCAAAAATAGTCATTATCTACAATTTCATGTGGTTTGTCCTAAATGATATGTCAGATGGTGAGAAGTCACATCAAGAATAATAAAGCTGGTGTAAAAGAGAAAGTGATTATATGTAGGCTATTACTCTTTTAAATTCGGTAGTCAGGGAAGAAAGAACCTTACATAAACAAGCAAGATGATACAGATCTCTCTGGTTAGAGCATTTAAAGATCTGAAGTGGAATTGGGTTTGGTTACTGAGAGCCAGCCTCAGCACCATTGTAGCTACAGCAGGTTGGGCAAGAGGGAAGAGTGGAAGAAGGTGAGGTCAGTGAGGTGGAAGCGGCAAGATCATGGAGGGTCATATGGTGGGTCACGTGGCCACAACAAGGAGTTTGATTTTACTCCAATAAGACTGAAAGTTTTGGGACAGCTTTGAGTATAGAAGTAAAATGATGCAATTTCCTTTTTAATGAGATCATCCTGTTTGCTAGGTTAAGAGTAGCATCTAAGAGGATAGAGAGAAGAGCAAAGGCAGGGAGACAAATTAGAAAGCTCTTACAACAATCCAGACAAAAAAATAAGGGTGGCATAGACCAGATAGGTAGAAGTAAGGCAGTGAGAAGCAGTCATATTTGGGATGTAAACTGGAGCTAGTGCTGCCAGGTCTTACTATGGATTGGGTGTAGGCTGAGAGAAAAAACAGAGTGGAGTGAGTTAAGATCACTGCACAGTGTCTGACCTAAGCAAATGCAAGAATGGAGCTGCCTTTAACTAATGTGTGGAAGATGCAGGTTTGGTGGGCAGGGTAGAAAAATCTGAATTCAGTTTGGAACATGATGAATTAATGGGACTTATTAGGCACTCAAGTGGGGATATCAAATAAACAGATATATAGATTTTGAGTTCAGGGGAGTAGTATAGGATGGGGACATGGGTTTTAGAGCTACCAGCTTTTAAATGGTATATAAACTAATGAATGACACTAGATGGTGTCACCTAGGGAGTGATTACAGATAATGAAGTGATGAAGGCTAAGGACTGAACCTGGAAATAGTTCCATATTAGAATGTCAGGAGGATGAGGATGAAGCAGCAAATGGCTACTGAGAGAGGGATAATCAAGGAAAGAGATGTGTCCTGAAGGCCAAGTGCAAAAAAGTATTTCAGGAAGGAGGGAGCTGATTAACTATGTCAGATATTGTACATGGGCCATGTCAGAAGAAGAATGAGATTTAGCCATTAAATCTAGAAACGCACTGGTGACAGTGACAAGAATTAGCCATTGGATTCAGAAACTCATTGGGCACATTGACAAGAATTAGCCATTAGATTTAGGTGACATTGACAAAAATTGTTTCGATGAAACAGTAGAAATGAACACCTGGCTGGGGTAGTTGCAAGTGACAATATTGGAAGAAAATGACTAGAGACAACTTTTAAAAAAGAGTTTTCTTATAAAAACAAACAAGCAGTATAGTAGGAAGCAGGGCATTTGCAGGTAAGAGAATTTTTTAAAATAATAGATGATATGACAGCATATTTATTTTGCTGATGGGAGTGGCCAGGTAGAGAAGGAACAAGTGCTAGTGCAGGAGAGAGAAAAAATAATTACTGGAAAAAATCTCCTTGAATAGGGGACAGGAAATGGAATCCAGTGTAGGAGCTAGAGGTTGGCCTTTGGAAAGACATGGACAGTTTATCCACAAAAACAGTAGGGGAGGCAGAATGTGAAAATACTCTGCTAAAGGAATATGAGAGTGACTAGACTAAGGTAATATACTGGGATTTCCAGTAGTACTAAGGTTCAGTTGGGGTTAGTGTTAAAGTGGATTGCTGGCATGGTTGTGAGTTTTTCTCTAGAAATACTCAGATGAGCCTGCAGCATTGGAGAGATGATGTAAACAAGGTGGAAATTTGTCTAGGTAAAACGAAGACAGAGAGAGAGAACATGGAACTTAATGATTACAATCATGGACCATGGGATCTAATAGGAGTAATGAGGACATAACGGAGATGATTACAAAAAAAAAAAAAAGTGAAAATGATTCATGGACCTCTTATGGGACAGTTGAGATACTAGAAGGAAGTAGGGAGCTGGCAGGATTAATGGTGGTCAGAGAGCAGTTAGCTTGAAATTGAGATGATAGTAAGGGGTAGAGTTGTTGTTATTAGCAAGTTGTAGCATAACAGCTTTCAGAGTCACCCAGAAAGCTTGCTAAAGGGATTGCATTGCTGGGCTTCACACTACAGAGTTTCAGATTCCAGATTTAGGGCTGAGCCCCCAAATTTGCATTTCTAATAAGTTCTCTGTGATGCTGTGTCTGTCAGTCTGAGGTCTACACTGAGAACCACTGATCTGGGTTGTGAGCATGGGTCAAGGAACTTGGAGGCTGAGGTATTAGAAGATCACCCACATAATGAATACATGAACAGAGCTAAATCAATCCACACAGAGATGTTTATTCAGTCACTAATTGTGAATCCAATATTAAGCTGCTGTGAAGTCTCATACAGAATTAAAAACAAAACAAAACAAATACACACACATGAAATCAAGAAATGCCTTCACTTCTGTGAGACAACATTTTAAAATAATGTCTGTCCCACAGGCAGATGCAGCACATTTATGGGCTAATTTATTCTGTTGCAAATTATAGAATTCCTGGTATGCTTTTTGTCCAGAGCAAAGGAAATGTATTTTTGAAATACAACACATAAGTTAATGTTAAATGTCTAGGAGCTCATTACCTAAAATTTTACTTAACTATTTCCTTAAGTGAATAATATCACCAAATTTATACTTGCAAAAACTTGGATTTTCATGTATGTATTAATGTTGTATGATGAAGTCAGATCAACAAACAACATTCCTCTATGGCAATAATATGGTATTACTATGGTAATACTATCACCATCCAAACAAAAAGCCCTTGACACCAGCTTTGTTACAGAGTATTTTAGTTGTGGTGCCTTCTAACTCAGACCCTCAGTTATCTTTGAGTCACTTACAACCTTTGAAAATCTGATAAAAACCATGGGCTCTTTCTCTACATATTATAATTCTCTACAAATTATATTAATCACATAATTTCAGGGAGTTTAAGGACCCTATGAAGCACAACCATGTTAAGTATCTTCAATCTGATGGGAAAATGACCATAAAACTGCAGCAAAAACACCTTTTGTATCTTTCCTTTGTCCATATCACCCACCATCCTTTCTATGAAAAGTAAACTTCTTTTGTTTAAAAAATCTAATATGTTTTCTAGGCACAAAAATTTTTTTGAATATATCTTTGGTGATCAAAATTAAATCAACAAAAACTGAACTAAACATAAATTTTCTTAGATTCTGGGCACTGTGAGGCATCCAAAGAGATATAAGGTTATGGCTTTACATCTCAAGAGTTTTACAATATGAAAAGAAACATAAAGCAAACACACATGAAATTTACCTGAATATATATGGGTGTGAGTAAGGATTCCAGAAAGCAAAAGGAGAGATGTCACAACACTGATAATAAATCTGTTGTCAAAATAAGAGTTCAAATATTAAGAGCAACAAAGGCATTGGCCCTTCATGTCAGAACAGTGAAAAAAAGAGGCTTTCTGAAAGAATGAGCCTGGAGTCAGGCCTTGTAAAAGGAGGTGAAACAAATGAAATCAACACATAGAAAGGATGTCTCAGAGACAAAGGCTACCTGTTGGTCTGAAATTTGAGATGTTTGCTAAGTTCTCCAACAAGATGCACCACACCTGTCATTGGAGAGTGAAATGGGCCGAACAGTGTACAAGATCTCAGTACAGCAGATGAGCACATTCAAATTAATGCAGAAGCTAAGTACTATAAAGTCTCCTCCAGGAAAGTTGCCTCCCGGGCTCCCTGTCAATGCTTAGGGAATATTCTGCCATCAGCCTTGTTCAAAACACACACTATCATCATCGTTCCCATTATTACATATCTGTGAGGCCTTTACAGTTTCCAAAGATGTTTCCCACGTATGGCCACATTTCTTGCTGTGAATAGTAGTTGTGTGGATCTTTCATTAAGCAATTTCAGGGAGACAAATAAAATAAAGAAAATGAATGTAATTATTTGACCTATGTAAAATCTTGCAGGATTAAAAATAAGTCATTAAGAAGTCACACAGATGGATGTAACTAGCACCAAGAGAATAATGCAGCAAGTACATTTGTTATTGTTTCTTGTAATAGCCATGTTAGGTCGAGTTTCAAGAGTCAAAGAGAAGAAGAATGTAATTTGCCTCTGGATAATTAAAAAGTAAAAAAAGCATCACAACCTTCTGAATTTCACAAATTATTGAAACAAATGCATTTTGCTCTTATGTTTCTTTGACCAAATTCTCCAAATTAAATAATGCTGTCAAAATTAGAAATAAACACAGTATTTCACTATTAAGTTTTCTGGTTAATTCAGGCATAGTACATTGAACATAATCTAATACTTTTTTTCATAATTTGCAACCTTTAAAGGTCTTCTGATCATGCTGATCATCAGTGATCTTCTGGGGCAGCATGAAGACTAATAAGACTGAGTTGAACTTGAATGGACTTCAGTACTAAGGTGAACAAGGCCAGTGCTGAAAAACAAATCCACTTAATTAATGGTTATGGTGAGTTAGGATTTAAGTTATTAGGCTTTTAAATAAAATAACAATTTTAAACTTTGCATTTTAATTATTTTAACTATCCACTTCACCTCCTAGACCTGGCCCCACTAGCCTTAAAACTTTATTTTATGCCTTTATAATATGGTTTTATTAAAAAACTTGAGAAGTTTAGCATGTCTTAGATATATATAATGAAGATCTGACATATTGAGAAAAGCTATCTTTTCTGAATACTCAAAACGTCTATTACTCAGAACTTTTGCAACTTTATAAAGGAAGCATAAAGAAGTCTGGAATAACAGCTAGATCCCCCCCCGAAACATGCTGGAGTCAGGTTCTGGAAAATCCTGAGGCATTTTCTGACTCCTCAAAGGCCAAAATACAATACACTTGGTTTAATTTTTAGAGGAAATTAATCTGGCTATAGTTATTGGAAAATTAATCATCTATAAATTATACATGGAATACACACAGATGAATATTTGGTTTGCACTTTTTTCAATCACTCCAGATAAGAGTTCACTATATTTGTATTCATTCTTCTTATTATTTTAGACACAGGGTCTTGCTCTGCCACTCAGGCTGGAGTGCAATGGCATCGTAACTCACTGCAGCCTCAAACTCCTGGGTTCAAGTGATTCTCCCACCCCAGCCTTCCATGTAGCTGGCACTACAGGCATGCGCCACCACACCCAAATAATAGTTAAAACTGTTTTTTTCTTTTCTTTTTTTATTATACTTTAAGTTCTAGGGTACATGTGCACAACGTGCAGGTTTGTTACATATGTATACATCTGCTGTGTTGCTTTGCTGCACCCACTAACTTGTCATTTACATTAGGTGTTTCTCCTAATGCTATCCCTCCCCCATGCCCCCACCCCACGACAGGCCCTGGTGTGTGATGTTCCCTGCCCTGTGTCCAAGTGTTCTCATTGTTCAATTCCCACCTATGAGAGGATCTCACGATGTTATCCAGGCTGGTCTCCAATTTCTGGCCTTAAAAGATCCCGCCACTTCAGCATCTCAAATTGCTGGAATTACAGGGTGTGAGCCACTGTACCCAGCTCCTCTATTCATAATTTTAATCACTAACACCAAACCCTCCTCTCCACAACTATCTACCATAATGTAGTTGAAAAGATGAGTGAATTGTTCAGTAAAATGTGCTAAGTTTATGATTTGCCATGAAAAACTGTACACACTATCCCGGAAGTAAAAGATCTAAGAAGAAAACCCAAATTAATCCAGGACGAGGAAAAAAGCACAGGGTATATAATTTCACCCAATAGCAAGTATAATCTCCAAACTACATGTAAAATTTTGCTAACTGGATTGAGGCAAAAGATAAGAGAAAAGCAAGAAAAGTTGTGTGTTTTTTTAATGTAGTAAAAAAAATTGGATAACCATATGCTCTGCTCCACTAGGAAAAAATAACAAGATTTAAAATTGTTGTAATAAGGCAGTGGTTAAGAGTACAACTACATTATGTAATTATCATAGTTATACCATTAGCCAATGCGAATTACTACACTTATTAAAGGAACAAAAATGACTCTGTGCTTAGCAGATATAGATAAGTTATAGTAAGGTTTATAGGCTGAGAATAAAATTAAGTCTGTTTTGCAATAAAAATAATGATTTTAAATAGAAAATAATAAATAATGTGAGTGAATATGCAAGTGTAAATAATTAGTTTAACTTTTATAGAGGGCAAGACCTCAGTTTTATTATCAATAGTGTATCATATTTGTGTCAGCTCTGTACAACCATAGCCCTCTTTAGTTAAAGCAAATATTTGGTGTGTCATTATGGCTTTAATGTCTACATAAGCACATTCCTGTTTTTTTTTCTTTTTTGCCTTTTGCACCAATGCAGATAGAACCAAAACAATTTTCAAAATATTTTGAACCAATTGTTATTTTATTTTATGTTTTGACACAGGGTCTCCCTCTGTCACCCAAGCCGGAGTGCAATAGTGCATCTCAGCTCACTGCAAACTTCCGCCTCCTGGGCTCAGGTGATACTCCTGTCTCAGCCTCCCAAGTAGCTGGGACTACAGGCACAAGCCACCACGCCTAATTTTTCTATTTTTTGTAGACATGGGGTTTCACCACGTTGCCCAGCTGATCTCGAACTCCTGAGCTCAAGCGATCCACCAGCTTTGGCCTCCCAAAGTGCTGAGATTACGGACGTGAGTCACTGCACCCAGCCCCAATTATTATAAATAGTCTTTTCTTCAAGCCCAAGTCAAAAGCTTGGGAGATATACTCGACATCTCCCCAGACTGAATCAATTGCTAAGACCTGTGAATTCTATAACCTAAATGCTTTGCAAATCTGTTCATTTCTTTCCCTTTCTACTACCAATATTCCAGTCCAAGTTACCCACATTTATCACCTCAATTCTGTCAACAGGCCTCTAACTGGCCTCTCTTCTTATGTCTTACTCTGAACCAGCCATAGCACTCTAATAGAACCATGTCACTCCTAAACTTCTCACGGCTCCTAAGGATAATTTCCATTATCCTCTCCTTGACCCACAAGCCTGCATAATCTGGCCCCCAACCCACTCCCTAGCTTTGTTTCCAGAGAACTTTGTTATTCCAGTGCTTCCCACCTTTTTCCAGATTCTTCAATGTGCGATTCTGCTCCCTCCCTTAAGGCCTTCCTGCTTCCCCTAAGCAGTTGCATACTCAGCTTAATGGTCACTTCCTCAGAAAGTTCACTTTGATATCTATCAAGGTCAGGTCAATAATTATGTGTACCATATACCAGCCTGCTGTATAATTATCACAATGCTAATTATTTGTTTACATATCTATTATCCTTGCCTTCCCTGCCCTGCATGCACATCCCTCCTAAACACACACACACACACACACACACACAAACACACTCTGCATGAGGGCAGGGACCATGTCAAGTCTTGTTCTCTCCCAGATCTCCAGCCCCAAGAACAATTTATACTATATACAGTTTAAATGTCCACCAAACTATTGTATACTCTCACTCCTGGGGAAAAAACAAAGATGCTCCATAAGTTAGGTGTTGAGAGCCAAGGATGGCTCCATTAAAAAATAAACCTGGTTAGCCGGGCGCGTTGGCTCACGCCTGTAATCCCAACACTCTGGGAGGCCGAGGAGGGCGGATCACTAGGTCAGGAGATCGAGACCATCCTGGCTAACAGGGTGAAACCCCGTCTTTACTAAAAATACAAAAAATTAGCCGGGCGTGGTGGGGGGTGCCTGTAGTCCCAGCTACTCGGGAAGCTGAGGCAGGAGAATGGTGTGAACCCGGGAGGCGGAGCTTGCAGTTAGCCGAGATCGCACCACTGCACTCCAGCCTGGGCCACAGAGCGAGACTCCGTCTCAAAAATAAATAAATAAATAAATAAATAAACCTGGTTAAAGAAATGCAGGAATGAAACCATCTTTTCTGAAAGGTTCTTGGCCTTGCTTACCCTAAAAGTCTTATTCTGAACATCATTAAATTAGGGACAGAAATAGCTCCTAGACATCGTTCAAAATGTTGTAGGAACATCCTCTTAAAACAATTTTGATGAAAACACTTTCTAAACTATAAAGAGCTGTGCTCTACAAATGTAAGTTACTACTGCAATGTGTGTATATAAATGTTGATTTGAAGACGTATTTAGATATAATTATAAATATTTATATTTCCCCAACTGTGCTGTGATTTTTCTCAAGGGTAGAGTTTGTGTCTTCTTTTTGTGAAGGAAAAATTGTCTTTGTTTTTCAAAGCTAGAACAAGTAAGGACTTCTTTTCTTGATCTTACCCAGTAATGAGTATACAATGGCTGCCTGAAAACGCTTCATGAATAAGAGTTCAATGGTCTTTAGTAATCAGGGGGCAAGAAGCCAGGCATAGTGACAGGCCCTGCAAGGGGCAGCTAGCAAACAGATTACACACAGCATCACCAAGGAAAGCTTGTGCATCACTCTGCACTTTGCATTTAAACACGCTCACAGATTGATGCAGTGATGCCAGTTCCGAGTATGAAACACTCATGATTTACAGAAGGATTTATATAGGAAGGGTTTTATCTCTGTAATTTTTCTCGGAAGTCCAGTCAAATGGCAACCAGCAATCTTTTCTTGATATCCAGGATTAAAATTTACAGATTTAGCAACAGAAACATGAGTATATTATATAGCCACTTATTTCAGATGAGTTCATAATTGTTACTTCTAAGTGCCAAAATTTTTCAAAAGAGTAACTTTTTTTGCCTCTAATAAAAAATGTAATTGTACTAATATAAACTTAGAAAGCATTTAACAAGGAGAGAAAAATATGAAAAATACAAAACCACTGAATCAAAACACTATGGTATTGGCATAAGAATAGTCAGAGAGATCAGTGGAATGAACTAGAGAAACCAGAAAAAGGCAATAGCAGGAATTTAATATATAGAAAGGTACAATTTCAACTGAGTGAAGAAAGGATAATTTACTTAAAAATAACAATGAAACTAGTGGCTATCCTTCTGAGACAAAAGAAATCTCATGTACCAAAGTTCCAATTTGCTTAAAAATTTAAATATGAACCTAAATCAATAAAAACATTCAGAGAAACTTTAGCAGACTGCATGCTCAACCCAGAGGTTAAAGATAGAAATATCTGAATGTATAAATATTACACTCTTTTATATGACAAATAATTCTATAAACAAAATCCATTGCCAAATACTATATTAATTTTATAATCCAGATGATACAAAAAGTTTTAAAATCTAGATCTACAAATAGCTTTTCAAATTGATTAAAAAAAAAACAAGATATACCAACCACATTGATCAACCTTGAAAATATTTTGCTAAGTGAAAGAACAGATACAAAAGGTCATCATTTATATGAAATACCCGGAATAGGTAAATCTCCAGCAACAGAAAGCAGAGTGGTGGTTGCCAGTGGTTTGGGGGAAGAGGAATGAGGAATAACTGTTAATAGGTACAGTATTTCCTTTTCGGGTGAAAAAAAATTTTTGGAACTAGATGTAGGAGTGGTCACACAACATTATGGATGTACTAAAAACCACTGAACTGTTCACTTTTAAATGGTTAGTTTTATGTTATGTGAATTTCATCTCAGTGTTTAAAATAAGACAACATACTACCCAACAGACGTACAAAGCATTTGCATACACATCTTACAAACTAGTCCTAATGGCCAATACAATTATAAAAAGATGTTAAGCCTCTCTACCAGACAGAAAAGGGCAAATCAGAATACCATGAGATATTTTATGCTATCAAATTAGAAATAATTAAAAGGAGAAGTAACATCTACTTCTGGTGAAGACTCAGGTAAATGGCTATATTTCAACATATAGCAACAACTAGTTGCTACAAATGTAAACTGTTACAGAAGTTTTTGAAAGTAGTTCAGAAATATCTATAAAATTAAAACTATATAAATTAGGTATGCTGGCTCACATCTGTAATCCCAGCACTTTGTGGGATTTAACATTTAACAAGGCTGGAGGATCCCTTGAGCCCAGGAATTCAAGGCAGCAATGAGCTATAATCATGCCACTGCACTCCAGCCTGGGCATCAAAGCAAGACCCCGTCTAAATTTTAAAAATTAATTATAACAAATTAATTAAACTATATATCACCTAGTCATAGCAATGCTATTCCTATGAATCAGTCTCAAAGATAAAACCATCAATAGGTAAGACTGTATGTTCAAATATGTTCACGGAAACACAAAGAATTGGAAACAAAGAAAACGGCTTCAATAAGGAAATGGTTGAATATCAGCTGATTTCAAGGGATTTTTCCCAATGTCAAGTGACAACATGCAGAGAAGTCTATATAACATGATTCCATTTTTCTAAAGCAAAAGAAATATATATGTTTATATATGAATGTGGGAAAGTCACAGAAGAGTACATAGGGGCCATTACCACTAATGACAGAAGGGGTAAAGACAATATGTAGATATTCTCTTATCTGAGGAGGAGAAAAGAGAGAGGAAAACAGAGGAAGAGAAAAACAAAAAGAAAACCCGTCTTTTAATATTTAGAGTGTCACTCTAAGCAAGCACAAAGTAAAAATCTAAGCACTCGGCAGTAAAAGTCCTGAAGTAAAGAGACCCCTGGTCCCATCTGGGTGTAAAAAGTCCAGAATGGGACACATGGAAAGGTTTCCGCTATTTATTTTTTCAAAACCTCCCTTGGCCACAGTGATTACGGATTGGTTTTTTAAACTGCTTTTTAGAAGGTAGAATGTGAGATTTGATATCAGAAGCCATTGTACATCTTGTACGCTTAAATAAAGGTTCCTCCCCTTATCAGCAGTAAGACTTTAAGAAAGTTATTTAAATTTTATAATCCACAGTTTCTTCATCTATCTATCTACGCCTTTCAAATAATAGTACCTAATGGACAGGATGTTGTCAAAATTACATTAGGTAATGCACTTAAAGGTTTTAGCACAATGCCTGGCACTTAGTGAGCTTTCCATCAATGAAAGCTAGTAAAAATGGAGTAAGAAGCCAAAAATATAGATAACTCCAAATCCAATACTTTTTCCACTACCCTTGCTCATGTTCCATTACTGGAATTTCAGGAGTTCCCCAATTAAAAATCTACCAAATGAAATGGTCTTGTTTTCTTGAGATTATAAAGGAACTCTCTTTCTGTTATGCATGAATAAGTATTAGGGCATCTCTCCCTAGAAAAATACAATAGGATTATATTATCAGTGACTCTAGTATGAGAGTGTTTTTCAAGGTGTTTTAATTTTTTTCCCTTTTTTTAAATATGAAGAGCTACATGCAGTCTCCCTATAAAATTTGTACAATACCGTGTAGAATGGGTATAGTCATAATAACTGTTTCATCACAGTGCTGTAAACCTTGTAGTGGCTTACATCTCACTAAAAGTCCTGATGACAGCTTTCAAGAGTGGATTCCCCCAGGATCGGGCTCCCCATTACTTTAGATCTAACCTCATCTCTAACTAATCTCCCCCCACCCCATCTTTTGCCCTCAGCCACACTCCCCTCCTTGGTATTCCATGAGCATGTTTGGCCCTCTGCCTCAGGGTCTTTGCACTCACCTCTCCCTCTTCCCGGAATGCTTTTTGCCCAGAAATCTATGTGGCTCCATCTTTCTCTTCTCTCTGAGCTTTGCACAAAGGTCACCCTCTTATTCCCTAACCTGCCTATCTAAAATTTCAGCAAAGCAAAACTAAACTTTAAAAACAAACAAAACCTCTTGGCATTTTATATCTCCCTATTCAGCTTTATTTTACTTATTTATCTTATTCCTTATCTGTCTTCCCTTTTCAAACCTGTTATTGTCTGTATCCTCTGTTACAATATAAGGCAAGAATTTTTGTCTATTTTCTTCTATTCTGGGTTTTTTTTGTTGTTGTTTTAATTGAGACAGGGTCTTGTTCTGTCACCAGTCTGGAGTGCAGTGGTTTGATCTCAGCTTACTGCAGCCTTGACCTTCCAGACTCAAGTGATCCTCCTACTTCAGCCTCCTGAGTAGCTGGGCCTACAGGGATGTGTCACCACGCCCAGCAAATTTTTATATTTTTTGCAGAGATAGGGTTTTGCCATATTTCCCAGGCTGGTCTTGAACTCCTAGGCTCAAGCAATCCTCCCGCCTCAGGCTCCCAATGTGCTGGGATTACAGGCATGAGCCACCTTGTCTGGCCCCTCTTCTGTATTTCTAGTACCTATATAAGTGACACATCACAGGCATTTCATAAATATTTGCCTAATAAATAATAAGCATTGTTTAAAAATTTCATTGACGTAATAGATATTATATGTATACTTACATGTAACATTACATATGTACAAACACATAAGTATAACACAATCATGATTAGTAACTCATGTAAAATGTAAAGAATAACATGTGACAAAGACCCCCTCCTTAACCTAACTTTAATCAGGCTCCTCTGAGATGTGTACTCATCTAGGCTTGACCTTGGTCTTTCTTCTCTGTCCTTGTACAAGCCAGTTTGAGCAAGAATCCTGCTAAGTCAGTGTAGGGAAACCTCCTTACCCTTAGTGTCTAACCACCCTGGATATCTTATCACCCTGGCCTGCCTTCAGCAACAATTCTGTTGAGCTGCTCTCGTAAGAATCTCTCACCCCTAATGTCTCTGCTTAGTAATTTTCCATCCACTGATCCCCACCCTGCTCACCCTGCTCACCCTGCTCCTTGTCTACAATCCCCACTTGCCCATGTTATATTTGGAGTTGAGTTCAGTGTCTCTCATCCACTGCAAGACCCCATTACAGTGGTCTCTATACCTATCACGATGCCTACCCCCCTTGAATAAAGTCAAGAATAAAGCATAAGATTAATGAATTAACCAGGAGAGTTAAATATAATCTTCATATTGTAGAGGTATCACAAAAAGGAAATGATATTTGTGGACTATAGAGGTTTATGGGACTGAGCTTTAAAAAACAGCATCTGATCCAAGAGTAGTAGCTCTTAATAGTATGAAGTTATCTCTAATTAAATAACACAAATGGAACAAGATGTTACAAGTGAAAGATGTCCTCTTAATCCTGAACTTCAGATTCTACCAAAGAAACACATTCCCTAGAATAATTAATGTTGCCCTATAGCTACTACTTAGTACAGTTTGGGTCCTGATCATAGGAGAGATGACAGGGCAGGCATCTCTCAGGACAATGAATAGATGGCATTGCCACACTGTAATAAAACAGAAGTTAATTCTCAGAGAGATCTAAAATTTTGACTACAGTATGAAACATACTCACTAAAAGAGGAAGAAAAAAATTATCTTCATTGGAATTCATATTTTCACAAGTTTGAGGTGAGACATTTTCATCACCATCAGATATAAGAAAACACGAGATCTTATAAAGTCAATTTTAAAAACAAGACCATGTCTGCTAATTCAGGAAATGTGAATTTGAATACATAAACTCAGGCTGAGTCAATCAATCGATTTCTGTTTACCTAGCAGCCACCTGGTGACCAGCTCTTTTCTGAGCACTGTGAAAGATATAAAGGAAACAAGGAAACTTTTGACATGATCTTTTTTTTTTTTTTTTTTTTTTTTGAGACAGGATCTCACTCTGTCACCCAGGCTGGAGTGCAGTTGCACATCTCGGCTCACTGCAGCCTCTGCCTCCCAGGCTCAAGTGATCCTCCCACCTCAGCCTCCAAGTAGCTGAAACTACTTGTACACGCCACCATGTCTGGCTAATTTTTGTATTTTTTGTAGAGATGGGGTTTCACCATGCAACCCAGGCTGGTCTCAAACTCCTGGGCTCAAGTTACTTGCCTGCTCTGGCCTCCCAAAGTGCTGGGATTACAGGCATGAGCCACCATACCCAGCCGATCCTTTCTTTCAAAAGAACTGCAATTTATTTAGCTGGGAAGATAAAACAAACAGCCATGAAATAAGTGAAGAACAATTAAGCTTTGCCAGCATCATTACAGTAGAGCAGATTTTGTCATCTCCATAGGGAAGGTGTGATCTGAAGTGAGCCCAGATGGCTGGGATTGGAGTAAAGAGCTGCGGAAGCTGGAGAAGCTGCATTAAGGCACTGGAGGAGGAAGGGAGCACGTCTCATGAAAGGGGCCGGGGAATAAGGAAGGACACGTGGGTGAAACGAAATTGTGCAGGACCTTAAAATCTCGAATTTGGATTGTGTGCCCATCAAAAGGAGAAACATGAAGATTGAAATCTGATATTCTGTGTTACTGTTCCACAGTCACCTCTCTTTAGGAGACACAGACCTCAGATTTCTTTAGTTTGAGATGACAGCTACTTGGCTTTTCCAAATCCTCTAAAAACAGTCCAGGCAGGAAGTTTGCTAGGACTATTACTTCAACCAAAACTTGTTTCTTCAAACCACAGTGATTTTCCACTGTTTATACTAGTTACATTGTAATGTGTTTCTCCTTTTTCTTAGCTGTTGTTGATTTCACCTGACGCAATAAACAGTAATAAAAATCTTTGAAGATGTCCAGTGCTGGGCAACCTTTGAGCCTATCCTGACTCAGACATGGGGTGTCTGGATATATCCCTCCCTCTGGCCAGGGTCCCTCGAGTGTTCCCTCTGACATGCAAACTATTTCCTCAAACTTGTCATCTTTTTCCAGGCCATATGGCTATCCTTCTGTCTCAACTTACAGACGGTATTCCAGCTCCTTGGTTTCTTTCTTCCCCACTGGCGCTGACACCCTGCCTGAACTCTAGCTAATCTGCCTGGGGTCCTGGACTTGGTTCTCTGACCGCTATTATGCTCCTGGTGCCTGGACTCGTCTTCTATACTCACATTCTCTTTTTCAGTATAGCTAGATCTGTCTGGAATAATGATAATTGCAAATATTGCCATTAATATGACCCATGCCAGAGGTTCTTGCTGCCACAGCTTCCCATCCAAAGAGCAGATCCCACAGGTATCCTTGCCAACCTGAATTTTTGGATTCCAGTTGAACAGATGCCCAGATCTATGTGGTAAATACTGTGATGTGCCATGCACGTCTCCCTTCAATAAAAGACCTGTTGTCCTCTCTGCTGGGCGTGCTGTCAGCAGACAGGCTTCCGCTGTCAGGGCTTTCAGGGATCAGCGCAGTTCCAAAGAGGGGACTTGCTCAAATTCATACTCCTTCTTGGATCAGCCTGTATACAACGACTGACCACTTTGAAACTATAAATATCTGGACACCCTGGTCCAACTCTGAGAGGCTATCCTAGTTTTGGAGCTCCCATGAGGTCATTGAAAGTAGGTATTAAGACTGTATCACAGCTTGACTTCTCCTTCTGTCCAGTCTTGATTGCACAGGTGTTGATCCCCAGGGGTCCCTTATAAACATCCTGCACACAAAACGCTGTCTCCGAGTTTGTATCCCAAGGAACCTAACTCACACCACACTACAACTGGTTTTTCCCTAACGCATATGCCATGCACATTTTGTCTCACTCCCCTTTTGACCTCAGTTCACTGTTAAGGCACGCCTTTTAGTTGAGGTCATGATCATTTTTTAGCAAAATTTTGGGGGATTTTTATGGCCAATATTCTCAAAATCCCAAAATCATTTTTCTTCTAAAAATTCTTAATCTAGAAATGGTTGCATGCTCATCATTAGAGGATCTGTTATAATTTCAGGTATCTTCAAGTTGAAAATTAATCTTTGGATAAAAATCATATTGTATATTTACATGATTTTAGCCTATTTACTTATTGTTATTGAACATAAATATGAAAGATTTAATAATACTTAGCTTGGAGTAGGAGCCACTATCTCCTTTATCTAGGATACAGCAGTATTCATTGGTAATTATGTGGTTCTCAGTGGAAAACACCAGGGGTCTTTTTGGAAAATGTGGGAACCTTTTCGGTTGTTACAATGATGGAGGGGGTCTTTTTGGCATTTAGCAGGCAGAGGCCAGGGATGCTAGGTGTCTTAGAATAAGGAAATCAATCCCACATACAACAAAAACTGACCCATATCCTGAATAATTTTCTGTTATCTTGAAAAACACTCCTATAGTGGAAAAATCCATTAATAATTATTATGCAAAATAACCCATTTTACATATAAACACAAAGCATTTTTTAAAAGTAAAAACAACGCATTTTGCCAAAAGTTTAACATAAACAGAATTTTCTGGAACTACAACTACCTTCTAACTAAGGGAAGATTATATCCTGTTTTTTATAAATGTACCAAGAATTATTAGTCATTTGGTAATTCACTTCACCTGGTAGCCAATACATCACAGCTCTACCAGCGATGGTCACAGTCATAGCAATCATACACAGGCAAGCCCTGCCAACTTTGTTCCATCTTCTGATCCAGTCCCACCATGCATTTACATCCTGAGCTACGGATTATTTTATTATAAATCACATTCCCTTTTCTTATCTTTCATAACAATTTGGTGAATTACATTAAGTTTTTAAAATATTTATGTGTGTAGCAAGTTATGTTAAATATGAATTTAATCTCAGGATAGTAAGTGGAGTTATAAAATGTTTATAATGAAAAGAGATTACTGCTCAAATAAGGTTGAGAAACATTCATGCAGAATACTTTACCAGTTGTCAAAGGAGTCAGTTTATATCTTTATCAAATAAAGCTTTTGCAGCAAAGAAAATATAAGTCTGTGATCGCAAAATACTAACCCTAAAATAGATCCATAATCACTCTTCATATTTTAATTCATGTTCATTAAAACATGACAATAAACTGCTCAAGTGAAACAGAAATAAAAGCAACTACAAAATTGCCAAATACTCTTCCTCATATTCCTTTTCTGTCCATATTTTCTAAAGGAGAAGGCAAATGTATCTCCCTACAGAGACAATGTTTTATTTGAGCCTTTTAAGTCAGATTTTTAATTTTAATTTTTATTTTTTTGACACAGGGTCTTGCTCTGTCACCCAGGCTGGAGTGCAGTGGCACAATCTCAGCTCACTGCAACCTCCACCTCCCAGGTTCAAGCAATTCTCGCGCCTCAGCCACCTAAGTAGCTGGGATCACAGCCCCACCACACCTGGCTAATTTTTGTAATTTTAGTAGAGATAGTGTTTCACCATGTTGGCCAGGCTGGTCTTGAACTCCTTACCTTAAGTGATCCTCCTGCCTCGGCCTTCCAAAGTGCTGGGATTACAGGCATGAGCCACTGCACCCAGCCAAAGTTAGAAATTTATATATTTCAAATGATTTTTAAAAGGCATTAGTAATATAAACTTTATGTGGTGCCAGATCAGAATAATGGCTTTCGTCTAAAAAATTATTTGATAAGACAAAGTTCAAAGTAAATGCAAACACTACTGTAGCTATCAAGCCATTGAGACTATGAAAAGGGCTAAATCCCAAAGTTTTCCCTCTCATATTACCATACATATGCTACTATTAAAAAATCAGTAAGACTGTTTAATTAAAAATTACATGCTTGCTGTTATTGCAGCATACAAAGGCCTTCGTTGTAAAATAAAACACACCTCTCTGTGCTTTCAACTTCGGCTAATATGTAATAGTAATGTTAATGTATGTAATAATAAGTTTAATGTAATTTTAAACGATCTCTATAATAACTTCTATTGTAAATAATATTTCTGAAACTTTAAAGTATTTCTGTTTTAAAAACCTGTCAGGGTAGAAACATTTATTGCTATATTATTTTTATTTATTTATTTATTTTTGAGACGGAGTTTCACTCTTGTTGCCCAGGCTGGAGTGCAATGGCGTGATCTCGGCTCACTGCAACCTCCGCCTCCCAGGTTCAAGCGATTCTCCTGCCTCAGCCTCCAGAGTAGCTGGGATTACAGGCATGTGCCACCACGCCCGGCAAATTTTTTGTATTTTTAGTAGACACAGGGTTTCTCCATGTTGGTCAGGCTGGTGTCGAATTCCCGACCGCAGGTGATCCGCCTGCCTCAGCCTCCCAAAGTGCTGGGATTACAGGCATCAGCCACCATGCCCTGGCCATTATTACTATTTTATAAATTTGGTCAAGAAGGCTGCCCTGGCCATTTAAAAACAAAAAAGCAAGGAAGAGCTGGAGACAAAGCAGGCACTGAATGTTCACCTTGGTCCACTTGGTCTCATCACAACTTCTGAAAGTTAAGAAACACTATGCCTAGAAAGTACTGTAATAAATTTTGTTTTGAAATTCAAGAAGAAGAAAAAGTGAATGAGAGATGTGAAGAAGTGAAGAAGAAAAAGTGAAAAGAGATGAAGCAAAGAAGGTAGAAAAAGAACAATTTCTCTTACTTGAAAAACTTCTTGTATTCTTAATATACCATTTTTAACCTCAGAATAATCTGTGGTTGCAATATTGCCCAATTATGTATGTTGTATCTGTTCATTTCATAAATTCCTTTCTGCTCTTCCCTTTGTATCCAAAAGAGTGTTTTTAGGTGTGAAGAGATATGCTTCTCTGAAACACCCTTTTACTCTCCATGGCCTATTATTCTCCCTAAAAACAATTATTTCTGATGCTGTACAAAAAGTATTTTAATCTCACCTTGATGTTGGCAATAGATCTTTGCTTCAGTAAAGCCACAGAGGAAAACACTGTATTTACTCTTACAATACTATCATTCCTTCTCCTGGTCCTCTACTGTGAGTATGCAAACACAAACACTTCTGTCAGTATATTGCCACTCTCTCATCCCCACCACACACATAAACCTTCCCAATTTTCTCTAAGAGAAGAAGGAACTTACACATTAATCTTCAGTAGTAGTCTTTATTAAATCATGTGATTCTTTTTCCTTTAAGGAGGAATAGATTCATTCAGTTTCTCAACCATCAGAGGCAATGTTAGTTGGTGTATACATTTTATGAAATGGTCTCCTTGCATTCTGCAGTTCTTCCTGTTCTTTAAAAGCGGGGAGAAGGCCTGATTAAAGCAAAAGGATAGTTCGAGGTGGTACCATAGTCGACACTAATTCATTATTAAATAAATACTTTTTGAGTATCTACTAGGTGCCAGGAACACTATTATTACCTGCTTATTATTGTATTGCACAGATGAGCAAAAAATAGACTTAGCCCCTGTCCTCATAGACATTGATCAACTAATTAAACCAAGAAAGGCATTCTACAAACTGTGGTTCAAGATGTCATGTGAGACCATCGAAGAGCATTATGTGCCTTTGAGGAATCAAAGGCTTCCCAGGGGAAGTGAAGAATGAACTGCTGACTAAGGTCAAGTAAGAGGTGACCAGGTAAAAGGGGGAAGGATTACAGAGAGAAAGAGTTCACCGCAGAAGGGGGGAAAATGTCTCAATGGCTACATAGCAGGAAAACAAAAGGCAGTGTGAGTCAGGGAGTGGTGTAACTGGAGGCTGAAGTAATAAGTAAGGTTTGGATTACACAAAGCCATACGGGACTGGGAAAGGCTTTTGGTCTTTATTCTTGGAGCACATGGAAATCAGAGGAGAATTTAGTTACATGTAAATGGTAGGGGAGTAGCTTAATAAGTAGGAAAGGCCTACCCAGTTTATAAAAGCAATTAGAGATAGTGCATTTAAAAAATATTTTACAAATAAATGCAAGTTAATCATTATGGAAAACTTTTAATAATTATCTAACTAATCATCATGCTTCACAGTTTCATTTCAACAGCCATGATTTATTCCATGAGGCTAAAGAAAAAAGAAAGAAAATAACGAAAAAACCTGAATAGAAGCGTATAAATTATGTAAATTGAATTAAATTAAATGAATTAAAGAGTAAACACATAAATTATGTATATGCATTTTTATTAACATAACAAAATAAATTATTTAATTTAATAAAAAACTATTCCACATTAAAATCTAACACAAACATATAAAACCAAAATTTTATACACTCATAAACTAATTTTTGCTACACAGATTAGAATAAAGAGCAGATTCGGAATCTCAAGATTTAAATCCATGACGTTTCTCTGTGTTTTCAATGTCATCACTTTTATCCTTATCTAGGCCAGAATTATTCACAGCAACATAAAGAAATAGACTTATTTGTTAGATGAATTAATAAACTTTCTCAAATGTTTAATATATAATAAATCAATCTAGGTAACTTATAAATATTGTCCCTATTATAATAGCTGCTGTTAATAACACGTTGAAGAAAAGCAAGGCACAAATGTTTGCCTTTTCTGTGCCTCCAGGCAGATAGGGAATCCACACTTATGAGGGGAAGGAGGGAAGCTCAGTTTCATTCCACTATTGATCTATCAGACAAGAACTTAATCAATCTTCTTTATAAGCTATTAAAGCCAAGCTCCAGAAATGAACTCACCCGATGCATTCAACATTGATTGTCTCTTTCTAAGAACTGAATATGTCAGTCTTATCTACTACTACAGCTGTGATTCAATTTTTAAGGGACAAGATTTTTCCTTCATTAGTTTTCCCAAAATGCTCCAATTAAGAAAAAGCATTTTTGATAGTGGCCCATGGTAAATGACTAAAACAAAATGAAGACCATAACCCTCAATTTCAGTCAAAGCCTCTGGAGAAAATGAGAGACCAAAAGCATATGTTCATCAAAGGAAATTCAGCACTAGTCCCAAAATTCTGTTCTAGCGTGAATTCTGAAAAATGCTCTGGCAGCATGAAACTAATGTTGAGACCTTAAGCTCAGATAAATCTTGGAAATTCAAAGGGAAACTCAAGGCAGTTGTAAATCTGTCTTTACTGCATATACATTTCAGCAGAAGCTTCTATATGGAGTATTAGGTTATATGACATCCCATTCAGCATCTAACTGCCTCATAAATACAGGCAGCAAGGTCATTTTATATTTACAGGGCAACTCCAAAAGTGCTAGATGCTATACACTGGGGGCAGGAGGAGGGGGAGGCTCAACATGCTCGGTTTATTAGGAAAGGTTAATAGCACAAATCCTCAATGACCAAAGAGAGTTCCCTTTGGCTCAGCTTTCTGGCTTCCATTTCTTCTTTCTAGGTCCCTTTACAGTCAAAAATTAAATACTGGGAGAAGCAACATTAAAGAGTTATCTCTACAGTGTTCTAAGGCTCTAGAGGGTATTCGCCCACTTTAGTATGGAAATACTGCCTATTCCCTAATATAATACAAAGAACATTTCCTATGGATGTGTTGTTAGCTTGGTTTTCTATGGTAAATGAGAGAGGAGAAAACATCTATTCCCTAAAACCCTACCCCTGACTTCTCCTTTATTTCTCTATATTCTCTGCAAATATATATAATATAACACAGCTCTATCACAGGCTGTTAGGTTTCCTTCACAAGGTCTGATTTTCTCAGGCTCCCCAAACATACTCACCTGAATCCTTGCACATGATTCCTAATGAATTCACCCACAGACAGAGATTATAGCAAAGTGCAGGAAGAAGCAAAGGGCCAAGAGCAACATTCCACTGTCTCCTCTAATGTCCCACCCAACTATCTTCTGGAAGCTTCTCTAAAACAGGCAACGAGGCCACGCTGAGGAGCCAAAAAGGCACTGGCTAGTGGAGCTCCCCCTCAGTGTTTGCCCACCTCTACTGCCCTTCAGCCTCTACCCCAGCAAAAGCATCAACCTCTCTGCTATTAAAGGTGCTAATGTATATGTGCATTCCTTTAGAAACCCAGGGAGTTGAAGGCCTCAATATTTTCAGAATGCCTAACATATTCAGGAAGATGGGATGCAGTATGGGGTCTAATGTTTATTTATTGCAAAAGTCAAGAATAGCTGGAAGTCCATTAAGAGGATGTTTCAGCAGATTATATTAATTTGTAATTAATTTTCAGTGGTATTTATGAGAGAACGCTTTAATCAGCATAATTCAAACTTTGAAAATTATAATATTAACTAGTATTAATTAAATAATAATTTGTAACTTTCAATAGTTTTAATTATCTTTTGATTAAATTACCTGTTAGTCAATTCCACCCTGCTTTTGATATTAATTAGCTAACTTAAACATGATGTACTGAAACTACTCCCCTGTGGATTAAGGCATATTGTCTAAACAGGTCAACACTGAGATACTTAAGTGTGACAATTTAGATTGCATGATTAGCAAAATTAATTGTTTAAGGCACTGGCTTTTTCATTCTCAATTTGCTAGCGGGTAAGGTCTTTAAAATATGCCCTGGGTTTCCCTAGGCCCAAATTCCAAGACATCCCACATTCTGTTATTCCCCCTTTTCTCCTCCCCCGCTTCCTTCTCTATCCTGTTACAGAACATCCTAGTCTTCTGAGACCTAAATTAGTGTCAGCCTATTAATCAGGCAACAAAATATGTCAGAGGAAAATGAAGTTGCAACCCCCACCCCCCTCCACAGGCAGATCAGTTTGCACTCTGTCTCAGTGCAGTGGAGCCAGGGACCTCAGCACTACAGCCCGATTTAGGTCTCCTCTGTGCAGTGATAACCAGCCCAGACCTCATTTTTAAGATGTTAATATTTAATTTAAAGCGCCCTACCCGCAAGTTCTCAAAGATAAGTGTCGTTGACTCCACACATTGCTCTTGCGCCTTCGCTGAGGCTGCGCTGCTCCCCGCCCCTACTCCGCCCCCAGCATCCCACCCCAGAAATTAAGATATTTTTAAATGAGCGTTCTAAAATCAGCTATCAATGTGACAGTTTGTATTAATCATTCACATCATCAAGAAAAGCAGGTATACATGACACAAATAAAGGAAGAGATGGATTTTATTTTTGTGATGTGGAACAGCAACCAAAAATATGGGTTTCAGAAGCTCCAACTGACCCTCTTCTCTCAAGAAACATCACAGGATTATTGAATCTCCACACCAGCTAATATGACATCACTTTATTCAAAGATAATCCTTATTTGGGGAACAGAATCTTCACTAAGAAGGTGTCACGGGCAGTTTTTACAAACCACAATACGCAAGTGGTCGTCTTTGGTTATTCATATTATAACATATTCTAAATAATTTCATCCTGAAACTCTCTATTTACAGTGATTAATGAGGATAATGTATATTTCAGAGCCCTTGACCTTCTCCAGGGCAGTATCTGATATGAGTGTCTGGTACCAGTGTTTAGAATACTGTAGTACTTGAACATGAAAAGCAACAGCAATGACATGAAATAAAAAGAACATTTGTTATGTCCAGAAATTTCACAGATAAACGGGAAAAGAAATTTGTAAGGCCCAAGTGTTGGATATAATTTCTGACTCGTGTGACATAGTTTTGCCATTTACTTATTTATTTATTTTAGACACAGGGTCTCACTCTGTTGCCCAGGCAGGAGTACGATGGCATGATCATGGCTCACCGCAGCCCCAAACTCCTGGGCTCAAGTGATCCTCCCACCTCAGCCTCCCAAGTAGCTGGGATTACAAGCACACCCCACAGCAACCAGCTAACTTTATTTATTATTTATTTATTTATTTATTTATTTTGAGACGGAGTCTCGCTTTGTCCCAGGCTGTAGTGCCGTGGCTCACTGCAACCTCCGCCTCCCATGTTCAAGCTATTCACCTACCTCAGCCTCCCGAGTAGCTGGGATTACAGGCGTGTGAAACCACGCCCGCCTAATTTTTGTATTTTTAGTAGAGATGGGGTTTCACCATTTTGGCCAGGGTGGTATCGAACTGGTGACCTCGTGATCCTCCCGCCTCAGCCTCCCGAAGTGCTGGGATTACAGGCGTGAGCCACCACACCCGGCCACAACCAGCTAACTTTAAAACAAAATTTCATAGAGATTGAGTGTTGCTATGTTGGCCAGGCTAGTCTCAAACTCCTGGGCTGAAGCGATCCTTACATCTAAGCCTCCCAAAGTGCTGGGATTACAGGCATGAGCCACTGTTCTCAGCCAGTTTTGCCATTTATATAAACTAAGACTATAAAATGTACAGATAATAAAGAATGGGGTAAATACATAGTTTTGAATTATTTTTATATCTATTATACTTTTCTATAATTCATGGCCTAGTGATTTTCTTTCAGTTTAACCTTTCAACGCTTATACTACACTTTTTTAAAAGGAATGAGTTGTTTGCTTGCTAGACACAATACAGAACATTCATCTGCATATTTGAAAAAGAAACAAGTTCTTTTTTTCCCCAAAAATTGATTTTAAATGACTTGTAATTTTTTGAACAGTGTTAAACTGATTTTCGATGTATTTTTCTGCGCAAATGATTAATAAAATGTTCGACTGCTAAGCAATTTTTGTATAAATACAAACGACAAGTTCTCAGTTATTTTGATAAAGGTCATAGGGAGTAAGAGGAATGGGGCAAATGACATGATGTGAACATTTTAGAATACACTATTTTATCTTTATTAAGCCCATAAACAGCAAAATAAGGAGTTATTTTTTTTAAAAAAAAAGGTAATTCCCATTTGAAAATAATTAATCTAACATGCATCCAGATCGTCAGTTGCAAAGCACAAAGAGAAATCAGGTGGGACTCATTGGGAAAATATCACTTAAAGCTCAATCTCAGTTGGAAATAACTTATATGTAATATGTGAAATATAAAAAACCTAAGAATAACTGTAATAAGAAATACATGGAAATGAAGAAAAAAACAAAGTTTTGGTTTTTTGTGGGGTTTTTTGTTGTTGTTGTTGTTTTTTAGACAGGGTCTCACTATGTTGCCCAGGCTGGAGTGCAGTGGTGTGATCTCGGCTCACTGCAACCTCCACCTCCTGGGTTCAAGCAATTCTCCTGCCTCAGCCTCCCAAGTAGCTGGGATTACAGGTGCATGCCACCATGCCCGGCTAATTTTTGTATTTTTAGTAGAGACGGGGTTTCACTGTGTTGGCCATGCTGGTCTCGAACTCCTGACCTCAGGTGATCCATCTGCCTTGGCCTCCCAAAGTGCTGGGATTACAGACATGAGCCACTGCAACTGGCCAACCACAAAGTTTTATTGAGCTGCAAAACAGGACTTGAATAAATGGAGAGACATATTTCTCTTGAGTTGAAAGATTCATCATTGTAAAAAAAAATGCAAAAACATTTCCAAACTAATTTATAGCTCTACACAATTCCAGTTAAAACATAACTGTTTTGAATTGGTTGTTCTCATGATCATCTGGCAAAACTAAGAAGAATCAGCAAGAATAAATAAGAATTTGGAAAGAGTATTGGGGAGGGAACTTACACTGTCAGTTATAAAATGTACCATAAAACTACAATGGTTAAAGCAGTAGGATGCTGGTTTCAAAACACCAATTAGATAAAGAGATAAAACACATTCCTGAAAACAGATACAAACATTAGTAAATGCTAGTATTACAATGGTGGCATTTCTATCATTATAATAGAAAGGAGTAAGGTCCTGGGATCCCTGGAGGAAACAAATGGAGGTATTTATGTCACATCCTATTAAAAAGAAAATTAATTCCTCAAATAATCCAACATTATTTTTTCATCAAGTGCCTCTATATTCTAGGCACTAGTTCTACTTCCCAGGTATAGACTAGTTTAAACAATAAGAAGAGAGAAAGAAAAGTTCTTGACTTACAGGATCTCACATTCTGGGGCAGTCAGACATATTGGGGCAGCCAGACATATTGGGGCAGCCAGACAATTAACCAATCAACCAATTAACCAATTAACCAATAATATTATTTTAAATAGCAATACGTACTATGAAAAAACTAATCTAGAGTGAAAGGGCAGAATAATAGAAGGCAGACCCATTTGAAATAGGAGGGTAAGGCAGGGCTTTTCTGAGAACCTGATATTAGAGAGGAATTCAAGGTAGAGTAAAAGCACAAACCATGTGTACTTGAGGGGAGAACCTTCCAGGTGGAGGTGACTCTGAGAAGAGCTTTCTTGTGTTCAGTAGTTGAAGGGGGCCAGCTGGGTGGAACACAGAAGAGTGGTGGGAAACAAGGGTGGAGAGGAAACCTGGAGCAAGATCAGGCAAATCCCCATAGGCCATGATGGGGGACTTAGCATTTTGTTCTAAGTGTGATGTGGAAGTCATTGGAGGCTTTTGAGCAGCAGAGTGCCACAATCTAGTTTAAATGTTGAAAGATGTACTGTTTTGTGAAAAGCATACTATCAGGAACCAGGGTAGAAATAAGGAGACCTGTTAGGAGCACTTGCTGTGATCCAGGTCGGAGGTGTGATGACTTGGGACATGGTGGCAGAGATAAAGTGATGATAAATGGTTAGATTAGGACACACTCTGAAGGCAAAACCAACAGGATTTGCTTATGTATTACATGTGGGATGTAAAACAAATTATCTAAATGATGCAAAAAAAATAATGAAAACAATATCATCATTTTTTTTTTGAGATGAAGTCTTGCTCTGTTGCCCAGTGCAGTGGCATGATCTCTGCTCACCGCAACCTCCGTCTCCCAGGTTCAAGTGATTCTCCTGCCTCAGCCTCCCGAGTAGCTGGGACTACTGGTGTGCACCACCACACCCGGCTAATTTTTGTACTTTTAGTAGAGATGGGGTTTCGCTATGTTAGCCAGGCTGTTCTCAAACTCCTGACCTCAGGTGATTCACTAGCCTCAGCCTCCCAAAGTACTGGGATTACAGGCATGAGACACTGCACCCAGCCAACATCATTATATTAGTTATACAAATATTCAGCCAAAATGAAAACCTTAGATAGTCCGTTCTCACACTGCTAATAAAGACATACCCAAGACTGCATAATTTATAAAGGAAAGAGGTTTATTTGACTCACAATTCAGCATGGCTGGGGAGGCCTCAGGAAACTTACAATTATGGTGGAAAGGGAAGCAAACACATTCTTCTTCACATGGCAGAGGAAGGAGAAGTACCAAGCAAAAGGGGGAAAAAAAACCCTTATAAAACCATCACATCTCATGAGAACTTACTATCACGAGAACGGCATGGAGGTAACCACCCCCATAATTAAATTACCTCCCATCGGTTTCCTCCCATGACAGGTGGGGATTATGGGAACTACAATGCAAGATGAGATTTGGTGGAGACACAGCCAAACCATATCAGAATAGAAAATTTTAAAAAAGGGTTTTTTATAAATAAAATTAATTATTGGTGAAAGAACAGTAGATGATTCTATAAATCATGTATTTTGAATTTGAGAAGTAAGTAGACAGTTACTTTAAGGTTCTATGGGAGGCACCATTATCTATTTAATGTTAGTTTCCTCTTTTGATCTCTGTTCCTAGTAAAAGAGATGCTATTTGATGCATTTGAATGCAGTCCATAGCAGGAAAAAGTTAATAAATCCAAAGTCCCCAAACTTTATTTCAGTAATTCTTTTCAACTCAGTAACTATCAGCTGCTTTGCCACGGTTGCTGACTAGGTAACACCACTGATAATTTGAATGTTCACTCTTTATTCGCTCTGCTCAAATTCTACAGAAGGGGCCATATGCTATGATCTAGCCCAAAAGTTATCTTTCAGATAAAAAATAAAGATGACATGGTGATACATATTCATGTGATATTTATAATATTCATATAGAGTTATCTAAAACCAAACTTTTAATTATAATGCTAAACTTCTGTCCCATGATTCCTAGAAATGTTTAAAGAAATTGGAATATATAACTAATGATAAGAGTACATAAATTTGGTTCACCAAGTTTACTGACATATTATTATTTGATTGAATTGAAATGATATGTAATATTATTATACACAGTCTGACTTACCCAATGTTACTAGAGACATAGGAAATAAAAATTGATTTTGAAAACTGAGCTAAAAATATTGAATTTGAAAGTGTCCTTTATTGTCATGCATATGTCTACATTCATATCCTTACATTTTTCAAATTTTCCTACAATGTGTGATTATCAGATGTGAGATACACAGATTTATCTCCTTTTTGCTTTTTATCTAAGGCTTTACATAGCTTGTAGTAATATGTCAACAAAATTGGTGATTGTACCTTGACTTGTAAAATAAAACCCATTTTAAGAGTATCATGAATCTAACAGAGCATGTCTTGTGTTGTGATTGGTAGAAAATTGGATATTAAACACTAGGGACAAACCGATCTTCTAATTCTGGTACTTGAGTAAGTACCAAAAGAAAAAAGAAAAAGAGACAAAAAAAAATCATTACTTGGAGTTGATAGTTTAACTGATCATGATCAATTTGAAGTGCTTATTGCTTAAGTAAATGACCTTTGGGGTGATTTCATTAGCTCCACATACTGCAAAAGGTTATATCTGAATTCAATTTTATGATTGAGTCTAGGCATATAAAATCTCAAAATAGTTTGAATGGATATAAAAAAAAAAGGCACAGAGTCCTTCTGAGACAAAGACTGGGCTGTGAAAATCCTGCTAGTATTGCTTTTCTAATTGTCATCTTCATGTGTAAGTAAATATTTGAAATAGGAATGCAATGCACTGATATCATCATCACTTTAAGGTTTGTGGTTAGGAAATGACTTTAAAATTAGCTATCAGTTCTAACTTTTTAGTACTATAAACTACTATAAATAAAATTTGGTCCCCCTGGATCCATTTCAGTTCTTTGATGAAGTCTCCTTACCTTTATAGAGATGCAGTACCCCATAATGGTTCGGTTTTAGTTCTACCTTCCTTTTCTCCTTGAAGTGCTACAAGGCATGTGCTTGTTATTTTATTAAGATAGGTGTCAAATGTTTGTGAAAAGAATTGTATATGTCTCCTTCAGGCATAACAGGCAGGAGAATCAAGAAAGGTGTTTGAAAACTAGATGAGGCATAGACCCTTCTAGTCTTCATATATTATTGGTAGATGAAATAGAGGCAAATATTATCTCTAAATACCCCCAAATTAGGAATACTGGGGTTAGAGAAAAAAATGCTTAGAAGAAATGAAACTATGTTTTTATCTAACTGACCTTGAAAGCAATGTAGTAATTCATTTTCTTGATGTTTCCTTCTCTTCAGTCACCATAGCTTTTTAGGATATTTCAAAAATACTCCAGTAGTCCCTGTGCCCTAATATTAACCTCTCTAATAAATAAGTCTCTCCCTTAAAAATTCAAGACCAACTTTTCTATTCCTTTCCCTCCTTAAATTTCTCTTTCATCTTTTTCCCTCTTCCTAATGTAAGCCTTTTCACAGTAGGGGTCACTTCCCCAAACCTCAGTCTCAACCCCTCCCCGGGTGTTCCCTGGTGTTTAAGGACCACATATATGCCAGTATATGTGGCAATGGTTGTCGTCAAAGGGGAAGAAAGTGATAGGAAGTGCCTAAGCAGTTAGGAGTGGGTCCTCATTGAAACCCAACCTTCAAGCTGGAAACTGTCCTGGGTAAATCCTTGGACCAGATTGAGAACTCATCTTCCCATTTGGCACACTTTCCTGTCTTTGATCCCCATCCTACACCTGTTTTACATATAACTACCCTTTCCTAATAGGTTTTGTACACTGTCATGCGCACCTTTGAGTGGTATCTTCACTTTGACCTTTTTTGCATACTTACAAGCCAATCAGCACACACTCCCTATTCTGACCCATAAAAATCCCCAGGCCCAGCCATATTAGAGGAACGTTCCTGTTTTCAGGTAGGGGAACCACCCCCCACTTCTCCTCTTTTTGCTGAGAGCTTTCCTTGTGTTTAATAAATTCTAGCCCACTCAATCTTTGACATTCACTTGCCTAATTCTTCCTGGTCATGAGACAAGAATCCAGACCTAGCTGAGCTAAGAAGCAAAAATCCTGCAGCAGAAGGAGAAAATGAGGTGATACTTCAATGGGCCCTCTTTTTTTTCTTCTCCAACCCCACTGTGGAATCCACATAAAAAACATTTCAAGCCACACTGCACCACCTACAAGTCATGTTACTTAATTTGATCACTTTTCATCTTTGAACCTCAGGATTTTTTTGTTTTCACCAAATAAGGCTAAAATCTCCCAATCTGCCTACCTGACAGGGCAGCTATGAAGTCTTTCATATTAATTAAAAAGCACCTAGTAAACTATCTATTTCTTTGAAAAGTTAAAAGATTGCTGTTAAACATTTTATTTTAAAAGAGCAGGATGAGCAAGTGGAAAGGGTTGAAAGCAGAGACCTCGTTTTGAGTCTTGACAGTGCTACTTCCTGGCTGTGTGTTTCTAGGCATATCACCCAGCCTCTTTGCACCCTAATTTCCACATCGCATCCATAAAAGGACTCATGAAGATATTAGCTCTTTTATCACCTATAAAAAGTGGCAATAATAATATTTACATAATTCTATTGCAAAGACTGAGAAAATTATTTCAAAAGTTCATTGTGACTTATGAATACAACAGTTAATAGCTGTCAATGGTGGAATGTATTTCACCAAACTGACTCTATGGAAATTGTGTTTAATATGTACCAGCCTATCTCTTGTTACATAAAGTACAGGATATTCTTCCTTAGTGAAGAGAAATGATTATTGAGGAACTAGCAGTATATCTTTTTTCTGAAACATTGATAACTTTTAAAAATGAATTTCACTTATGAAATTAGCATCACACACTATAATTTTATGATTAATAAATTAGCAAGTCAGTGGATTGCTGGTATGGAGTAAAACATATTTTAGCCTTGATAAAAATTTTCTCCTTGACCAAACTCTACTCAGCCTTTTCTGAGCTCTCTTCTTAGGTAGGCCTTGACTTTCGGACTTCCATGTTGTCTCTGCATTCTCCAACTGTAGCAAGAATCCTGTTATGTCAGCTTGGCCATCCTTGATATCTGATCACCCTTGATATCTGGTCAGTTTCCTTATTCTCTACCATTGTCCAGTCTGATCACCCTGGCCTGCCTTTAGCAAGAATCCTGTCAAGTCCGTTTGCCCAGAAATCCCCCTCACCCTGGTGTTTCCCTGTAGGAATTTTCGATCCACTGACACTCACCCCTACTCCTTGTCTATAAACTCCCATTTTTTCTTGTTGTACAAGGAGTTGAGCCTAATCTATCTTCCCCATTGCAAAACCACAGTGTAGTGGTCCCTACACCTATCTCTGCAGTCCTGAGTAGCCCTCCTTGAATAGAGTCTGACTCACTGTTCTTTAATAAGTGTAATGAATAGTTTGTTTCTTTGACGGGCTTCTGTGGTTTGATGAATATTTGATGATATTAAGAAGAGTTAGAAATAACACTGACATAAAGATAGGGGAAAGGTATGGGTCATGACTTGGGTGCTAAAGAAGAAGGGAGCTCCTAGCATGTTGGGAATGCTCTTTTCTTGACTAGAACAAAAGGTGCATGAATGTTCACTTAAAAATATTCATCAAACCTGTGCTGTATGTTTTATATACTTTTTCTGGTTGTGTGATAAATATTAAGATTTAAAAGTCTTGAAAATTGAAAAAGAAAAATGGAACTGACAATTCTGACAACTTTCTAAATTTACAATGCTCCATGTAAAATAGGGGTTCAATGCTCATTTATATTTTTTCATTTAATAGTAAAAAATCATTCACATACAATTCTCCTATACATTGAAGGGTTTATGAATGTGAAGAAAGATGGGCCATATATTACAAGGATATCATGATGCATGAATTTTTTTTATATTTGCACATACTATCTTATACTAACCCATTCCTCAGAGCTGATATTTCTATATGACTGAACATACGGGGTATGGAAAAAATAATTCCCATACATTTTGAAGATTTAGGAAGATAAATAATTTTGGCCATGCCCCCAAATTTTGGAAATTCTACTTTAAAAAAACAAACAAACAAACAAAAGCAAAACATGCTATCCTCTTCCTTCCCCTCAGGAAAACCTCCAACTCAAATGTGCAAATTTTAATAAGAGGGTTTTATTGTTAAGTAAGATTCAGATTCTGCTGGACTGCCTGAATTCAAATCTTATGTGCCCTTTTTATTAGCAATGTGACTTCGTATAGTTCTATAGTGCCTCAGTTTCTTCATCTGATAAATGGGTATAGTCATAGTACCTATTTCATAGGATTGTTGTGATTTAATACATACACTGTGCCTACAACAGTGCCTCACATGCACGTCGGAAATGCTTAATCAGTACTCTGGAAATGAAAGCTTCCTTTAAGGTGTAGCCTTGCTCTTCCGAAACTTAGGAATTCCTTCTTATTTAGTCAAGTTTCTCATGTCTTTCTTTGAGTTATTAGTCTGTTTACAACTAGATTCTGCTAAATATTATTTATTTATTTTGTCTTCTGGCATTTTCTCTCGTTACTTGCTACCTAAAGCCAATCCCACAATGTGTTCTTCTTTCAAGATATCAAACCTAAAACATTTTTGTGTGGATGACTCCATTAAAGTATCATTTTTCTGACTTCAAAAGACCAGAGGCTTCTGATTCATCACCATTCTATTCCCACTCCACCTCCTTCTCTGGCAGCAAGATCTGACATTAAATTCTAAAGTTCTTGTTCACCAACCATGCCACACAAATAAGTGCTTCTTAAGCCATCTGAAAAATATTTCAAACTATTTAGAATAAACCACTTTGTAGCCAAGTTAACTTGTTTGTTTTTTTGGTAGAAATAGAGAAAAGGAAGAAAGATGTGGTGATGCAGTTACTAAAGTACCTAAGAATTTAATCATTATTACAGTATTCATTCAGATGATATAAATCACAGACTAGGATTGCCGGGAGGAACCTAAGAAAGTATACCAGTCATCTGTGATGGACAAGAATACTGAATTTCAGCTAGGCCGCCTCCTTACCCAAAGCAGTCAAGAATAAACACAAAATAGAACCTGGTTTCATGCCTTCTGGCCCAGTGTTCTTTCTTTCCTCTATCGCATGATGCCTCTCGGCAGAAGTGTATATTTTGTGGTATCTCAGAGGAAAGGTAATTAAGAATAACCATCCAGACAGCAGAACAACAAAGATAAATGGCTTTTATACAACAAGGTAAAATCTGGCAGAAATACCACTTCCATCATCAACTGTTCAGAGAATTAATATTTTTAGAGTCCTTAAAGCATAATCACATCCATTCAATACTCCTAACCATCCTATGAAAAAACTCACTTTCTCTTGCCCAAGGTCATTTCCGAGCTACCTACAGCAGTCATTTATTTAAACACCAACTTACATTATTAAACAAACCACTCAACAATTACTGAGATATTATTAGTGCTTGGTGCTGGGGAAGACAAAGATGAAAGAGCCTCAACCCAGGTAAACAATGACCCAAAACTAAGTTGAGCTCCGTGATAGAGGTATGCATGGAACGCAGTGAGGGCCTGGAGGATAGGGCTAGAGAACTCTTCTGGAACATACAATGCAAGTTAAGGTTTAAATAAAGAGTAGATGTTAGCTATTTCAGGCAGTAGGAGAAGGCAGCTGAGGGACTAAAGAACAGGTAATACCAACAACAGCCACTTATATTGAGCACTTGCTATTCTGCTATTCCCTGTGCTTTACCCATTTCAACTATCCTGTAAAGTAGATACTATAACATTCCCCTTTCACAGTTGAGAAAAGCACGGGCCAGAGAGGTGAGGTATTTCTCCAGTGTCACATAGAGCCTTAATTTCAACTTAAGCAGTTGGGCTTCAGGAGTCCACATGTTTAATAACTGTCCTGCAGTATCGTGCTCCTTCAAGAACAGGAAGGACAGTTGTCTGAGTTGCAGAAATGTAATTTCTTGTGAAGACATAAAGGCTGATGAAGGCTGAGTGTGGTGGCTCATGCCTGTAATCTCAATACTTTGGAAGGCCGAGGTGGGTGGATCATTTGAATCCAGGAGTTTGAGACCAGCCTGGACAACATGGCGAAACTCCGTCTCTACTAAAAACACAAAAATTAGCCAGGCATGGTTGGGGGCGCCTGTAATCCCAGCTACTCAGGAGGCAGAGGGAGGAGAATTGCTTGAATTCGGGAGGCGGAGGTTGCAGTGAGCCGAGATCAAGCCACTGCACTCCAACCTGGGCAACAGAGTGAGATTCCATCTCAAAAAAAAGGAAAAAAAAAAGTTGATGAAATGGGCAGGAATGAGGTCTTAATCTGCATTCACTGCCATGCTACGGTGCTTGGTACTTGGTCCTGTCCTGGCAGTGATACGATGTGTGCCCCAAGAGAGGCACAATCAGATCTACAATTAGAAAGTTCCTTCTGGAAAGCACAATGGGATAAAATGGAGGGGGTGAGAATGTAGACAAAGAGACCACTTAGGGATCTATTATAATAACACAGGCAAGAAATCATGAGGAACAAAACTAAGGTAGCAGTACTAAGCATGAAGAAGAAATGATAGATTCAACAGATATTTTCAGATGTAATATTAACAGAGTGTGGTGTTTGACTGAGAGAAGAATCTTGATCTACACCCAAGTTTGTTTATTTTGTAAAAGGTAAATGGTGCGGTCATCCACTTAGATATCTAACGCAGAAAGGGGTGTAGACTTGAGGTATTGTATGGAAATTAGTTCAGCTTTGGACATGATGATTTTGTGGTATGGTTGAGAGAGGAGAATTCTCTTGCAGTCAATTGAGAGCATAGGTTTGGTCCTCAAAAGAGATACAGGTTTGGAGCTTGGGGAACAATATGCAAGGTATGGTAGGGAGGGTCACAAATGTAAATGAGAGCAGCCAGGTAATAGCTTTAAGGAAGAAGCAGACCAAAGAAGGTAGCAAAGCAAAGAAACAGACCAAAGAAATGGCAATTTAAGACCTGATGTAAGTGGCAAGCCCAAGAAGCTGCTTGACAGTTAGGCAGAAACCCAGGAGATCCAGGTGTCACTGAAGGCCCAGGGAGAAGGGGCTAAGAGGAGAAGAAAAAATTGATCAACAGTATGAATCCTGGCAAAAAAGGACAAACGAGACAAAGGTGGCTGGGTACAGTAGTGTGCACCTGTAGTCCCAGCTACTTGAGAGGCTGAGGAAGGAGGATTGTTTGAGGCCAGGAGTTAGAGTCCAGCCTGGGCAGCATAGTGAGACCCTGTCTTTAAAGAAAATCAAAAAGATAAAGGCAACCAGGACGTAATTGTAATTGTTGACTTTGCACTCACTATCTAACATGGTTTGGATACTTGTCCCCTTCAAATATCATGCTGAAATGTGATCTCCAGTGTTGGAAGGAGGGCCTAGAGGGAGGTATTTGGGTCATGGGGGCAGATCTCTCCTGAATGGCTTGGTGCCTTTCCCACAGGAACGAGTGAGTTCTCATTCAGTTCATGTGAGAGCTGGCTGTTTAAAAGCCTGGCACCTCCTTTCCTCTCTCTCTCTTGCTCGCTGTCTCGTTATGTAGTATGCCTGCTCCTCCTTTGCGTTCTGCCATGATTATAAGCTTCCTGAGGCCTTGCCAGAAGCTGAGCAGATGTTGGTACCATGCTTGTACAGCCTGCAGAACTGTAAGCCAAATAAACTTCTTTTATAAACTACCCAGCCTCGGGTATTCCTTTAGAGCAACGCAAACAGACTAACACACCATCACATTTCTTTAAACCATATGAGAGCAAAAACACCATCCAGTAAAAAATGTAAATGGCTCTTTAGACTTTTCAATTTGTTTGTACGTAGAATCTCTGATGTGTATATAATTATTTACTGCTCCTTGAAATGCAAGTGAAATTAAGGAGTAATATGAAGAAAGTGCAACTTACAATTTATTTGGCCATGCTATATACAATTAGAAAACAATCTCAACTAACAAGTTGAACATAAGAGAGCTAAGTGAAATTGTGCTAAAGAGAAAGGGAAAAAAAGTTATGAGTTTAATAAAGACAGCTTCTGAAAGATAAACATTTTATAACAGGTTATTAGAGAAGTGCATTGTCAGAAGTTTAAAAATTGTTTAGCAGCATCACAGGTAGAGGTGTGCTAACAAATTAATCCAACAATATATCTTTATTATGCACCCCCTAGACTCCACATTGCCCAAAGCACTGCAGATGATGTGCCAAAGTATAAAGTAGGGTCTTGGAAAAGGAAACAGGCTACACTATTACACAGGCAAAAGCAGGGATCAGGAAACAGGTGAAGAGGGGCTTCTCTGTCAGACAGACCAGTGATGGAGTTCCCTGCTCCACCCTTACTAGGCTTCAGGCAAGGTGGGTACTATCTAAGCTTCAGTTGTGTAATTAATTATATAACATATTCTATTATTTCCAGATAATATTATAAGGAGATAATAGGTGACATTTATTGTATAGTTGTTATATGAACTATAACATGTACATTTCTATCTCATTTTATCTTGATATTTATCCTAAGCGATATGTTTTTCTCATTATCCTCCTTTTATAGATGAAGAAACTGAGGCACAGAAGGGTTCAGAAATTTGTTCAGGAACACACAGACAGTAAGTGGAAGAACTGGTATTTTATCTTTGACTATCTTAGCCTGGAGGAAATGCCTCTCTGGACTATATTCTGTTGCCTCTCAATAAATATCATGGTAGTTCCAGTAAACACAGATGTCTGTTTCATGAAGCCAGAGGGATGATTATGCGATGATAGGGTTCGGAGAGGCAGAGGGTGTTCCTAAGAAGGCTGCTATCCACCAAGTCCCTCTTAAACCCAGACACATTAAAATTTTATAGATGTATATATATGTGTGTGTATATGTATATCTGCATGCATAAATATGTATTTACACACATGTGTATCTGTGTGTATGCATCTACATATATACATATTTACCATGTAAGTACATTCTATTTTTATATATGCATTTATACGTGTCTATATAAAATAGAGCAGGTTAAGAGCAAATATACTCAAGCCGCTATGGTGACGCTTTTACTTGCTGAAGTAAAAGCTGTGTTGGGGGGAGCGAAGTTTAAACTCTCAGCCTGTTCCCCTGCTCAGAAGCGGACGACCTGTCAATCAGCAGGGAGGTACCTTACCCAGGAGTGGAAAGACAGTAACCTAACTGCTCCCTACCAATTTAGTTAGGGATTCGTTCTAACTATTATTTGAAGTGCCTAGAAATTAATGTAACATTTCCTGTGCTAATTTGCATTGCCTGCGGGCTGGAAGCGCCCCCTGTGAGGGCCACAGAGTTAGGTAGGGAGCTGTATCCAGGGCAACTCCATACAAACTTAACGCAGGAGCAGCCCTTGTAGAGTGGTGCTGACATTGGGATTAGGATCTGTTCTATGAGACCGTGACCAGCTGATAAATTGAAGTGGTAATTTGGGATTTAACCAAACAGAGCAGTAAATGTATCAGAATGATGAAAATCCAAGACGAGAAAAGACTGGAGGAACCATACAAGTTGGTGAGTGAGGTTTTGTTTTGTTTTGATTTGATTTTTAAATTCAAGGCTCTCCTTTTACCTTTGCCTTTGAATCCTGAATTTGAGCATCTCTTCTGCCACTGCAAATATATTAGTAAAGTGGATTGCCTTTGTTAGTCTAAATTGCCATGTATTTGCAAATACATTTCAAGAGAATGCCACTCAAGAGAAAGCTTCTCTTGGACCCAAATCACAGTGTCTACAAGTGACTCTTGACCTTGATGCATCTGTGCCTTGTGTGTAATGAAAGTAGGTGCCGAAGCAGTTGAAATCTTCCCAAACTATCCATCTCTTATTGATTCTCTTGTTCTATTGTGAACAGAGAGACACCTACACACTAGTTTAAAATTAGGAGCTCCCAAGACTGTGATGAATGAAAGAGACCTGATTTGCCCTCTGGGATTTAAAAGTACAGAATTTTCTCACCTAAGGATTGTTGGGAACCTTATTGTCCTGGCACATCCTAAACACATTCATTAATTTATTTCCTTAGTCTACAGATCCACAAACCTTTCTAGGATCACTATTTTTTTTAAAGCTCAGTTGCTTATCATTTCATCAAAGTGCTATATAATATTTAAGTGAATAGAATGTAATTTGTGAGCATTCAAGTTAACTGAGAAATACTATAAAATGTTGGGGGAAGCAAAAGGTTTCAAATTCCTTTCACTAAGTTAGAATTTGTGAAAACTGACTCAAAAATGATGTTACTGAATATGTATCAGGGAAAAATTAATCCATTAAAGTTAAGTTTATTAAAGAAGCATGGACTACTGTAAACGCATAGACTGTTCTCTATTTCCACTGAAAACATTTCTTTCATTTTTAACACTTTTATTTTTAAAAGTTGGTAAAATAAACATATTATGCTTACAGGAAATTTGTCACCTCACTTTCAAAGCAACGGTTTAATTTTAAACTGCTTCCTTCACCTGGAAGTTACTAACATTTGGTAAAAGCCAAACAATTCATCATTTCCTCTAGTCTAAGAATGGCTCAGATGGCAGGGGAAAATTTGTAGGGCTAGAGTGAAGCATGTGGTGATAAGTTTTGACTTTCATAGTAGTGATGGTAATGAGACTGAATCTCCATTTTATACCTTTTTTTAATTTATTTTATTTTATTTTATTTTTATTTTTATTTTATTTCTGAGACCAAGTCTCACTCTTTTGCCCAGGCTGGAGTGCAGTGGCATGATCTCATCTCACTGCAACCTCCACCTCCTGAGTTCAAGCAATTCTCAAGCCTCAGCCCCCCAAGTAGCTGGGAGTACAGGCGTGAGCCACCACGCCCGGCTAATTTTTGTATTTTTAGTAGAGATGGGATTTCACCATGTTGGGCCTGCTGGTCTCGAACTCCTGACCTCAGATGATCCACCCACCTTGGCCTCCCAAAGTTCTGGGATTATAGGCGTGAGCCAACGTGCCCTGCCTATACTTTCTTTTTAAAAAAAAAAAAATTTTTTTTTAGAGATGGGATCCTACTCTGTCACCCAGGTTGGGTGACAAAGCTCACTGCAGCCTCAAACTCTTGGATTTATGGGATCCTCCTGCCTCAGCCTCCTGAGTTGCTGGAATTACAAGAGAGAGTCACCACAGCCAGCTCCATTTTATACCTTATTTACCTCTAGGTAATACCTCTGCCTGGAATAGCAACAGTGGATTGAACAAAGTCTTCTTTGGTTTTTCATATGGACACCTCCATTCCACCAGTTCATTTAGACTGCTGCACCTTTGTGCATCCAATTCTATTCACTTAGAATGCCTTCCCAGAGGCAGTTATGCCAGAAAGCATTTGCATGAGCCTCTTACAAGACTGCATCTAATTTTGTATTTATAATTTGCACTATTTATCTTAAAAAGGCACCCAACAATATATACGCATCAGGCCCCACAAAACCTCTATCCTCACCTTACTCAAATCTTATTCATCTTCTAAGACAGTGGTCAATTCCTGCTTTCCTTACCTGACTGACTTGTACCCAGAAAGCCTTGTTATGAATCAAGAAAACAACAAAATCTGGCCCGCAAAAATATCAGAATATTCTTCCATTAGCTTTCTCTCTTCTGAAAAATATATCTCTAAATAATGAGAACCATGTTAGTTTGCCTTTTGTGAAAATATTACATACATACTGGGTAAACTTAATGTTTGCTTTGAAGTCCAATATCACTGGTCTGCATTTCATTGAGGTAAATGTTCTGTCAAGGGATGTCCTTTGCTTCCATGCAAATACATTATTGATTTCATGGTGCCTTCCTTTGTATCTAAAATTTTAGATATCAAATGGATTTACTTCTGAGTTTTTCACACTAAAATCTCAAAAACTGAGGTTGAACTTGAAAGAATAAGCCTTATACAAACATGAAGTCCAAACCGAAAATCTCTGCATTCCAAACAAAGGAAGATCCTTAGCATTATGAATAATGTGTCTGTAATATAATATATTCATTCATTTTTTCATAAAATGGCACTATATATACTCCTGACATCTGGCACATAAAGAACAATTTTGAGAAATACAGCATTTTATAATTCTGAGGGAGAGATTTCTTATAAAGAGTTCTAATGTTTCAGAGAATAATTTGTAGAAGCTAAACAGCCACTTCCACTTTCTCAGAAAGCCAAATCTTGACAACTTGTTACCTAAAGACATGTTTGCATTAGAAAAAAGAATTGATGGGAGAAGAGCAAATAAAAAATTCACTTTCCTTACTCTGTTGATGTAGAGCAGTGCTTCTCAACTTTAATGTACATACAAATCATACAGGAATCTTGCAGATTCTGACTGGTCTGAGCTAGAGCCAGACATTCTGCATTTCTCACCAGCTGCTGGTGATACTGCTGTTGCTGGTTCCTGGCCTACATTTTGTGTAACAGGGGCCTAGAATACATCTCTGTTTTATTCTTCCACACACTCCCTTCCAATTTACCATTTTTTTCTTTTTGGGGAGAAAAGATCAGAAATCCTATTGCATTTCCATCTCATTAATGGCTTATTAGAGGTAGAAATTTCTTTGTCAAGTGCTCCACTTCTTTAATGATATGGGGAATTATTAGTGTGTAAAGGAGAAGATACGACTAAGGACAAGATCTGACTCCTAGGTTGGGAGCAAGTAAGGAAACCTAAATTTTTATTAATAAATCTAAGACCGTGGTTCTGAACACTGGGCCTTTACAAGCTTTGGTCTCTTTATGTTTAAAAGCAGGGTGTTGGACAAAGTCTCACTGAGGCTTTCTGTGGTTTCTACATTCCATAATGTTGGCCATGTGTTTGCATGTGTCACGAAGGATAACACATAATTAATCTGTTTATTTTGGCCACTTTAATAATCACTGCAGATTGTCAATCAACATATCTGCACAAACAACCAATATAATGATACTGGGACTTAGTATCAATTAGGAAGATTGCTGAAAAGAATAAATACTTTGTTTATTTCTTTCTTTGTGCATTTATTACCAGTTATAGACTTGCTATTGTGCTTTATTCATAGTCAAGGGTAATTCCCAAAAGGAGGATTAGAAGATGTGAATCAAGACTTGTCTGCACCACAATCAGCTATAGGTCTTTGGATTAGTCACTTAAACTCTCTGCAAATGGGCTTCCTCATCCTAGGAAAGCACTACCTAGCCCACTAACTCACAGGACCATTAGAGACAGCATGGGACATCGTATACATGTGCTGCTTTTGAAAGTTTTTTAAAGTGTCTTGCAAATGCAGGTTATAATTTTTCGTTCCCCACATCTTCCTAATTTATCAACTAGCAAACAAAAATACACTTTGCATTTTGTTATGCAGCATTTTCTTTTCATCTATTTATTGACTGAAATAAACACAAAGAGCAGGAAAAAAAAAACCCACAAAAGATGAGTAAACGAAAGAAAACACTCCCTAACAACACACAGAAATCTATGGAAATAGATTTTCTCTGAAGAAAAGAGTCTATTAGAATATTCTTAATGATCTAATAAAAGAAAGAAAAAAGGCTCAAAACTTTTATGAATCATCCTGTGCTTATTTTGTTATTAAGAGAAAAGGGAATTGTGTGGCAATACACAAATTATAAACAGAAAAAATTATGAAGTGCACATCTGCAAAGGAAATAAATGTATACTTCACTGGGAATATAGTTAATAACTGTGCCCACACCATTTTACATTGTGATGAAGTAACTACAGAACCATTATGGAAACAAAAAATTTCCTTGACAAAGTTGCATTTTTAGTAGACCCATAATATGTAGGATTGGTCTATTTTTCCTCTGACTGGATGAGTATAATGATAATCATACTAAATGTGATCTAGTTCCATTCCTCTTCACTGCTTTTCTAATGCTCACAATTTATATAATCCATTAAAATATGAAGCATCTGCTAACACCATCAAAGAAACTAGAGAAATTGTTTTAAGCATTTGTTCAGATTCTTTTTAATTCTAATACAAGCAGAAACACAGACCAGTACTGAAAAAAATAAATGAGGTTCAGTTGCCTTGCAATCTCGCTAATCTATCTTTGCTTGCCCTAAAAGCAAGGTAATTCTTAATTCTCTCAAATATAAGTTTTAGTCACATAACTGAATAAAGGTAGCATTTTCATAATACCCTTTTTCTGACTTCAAAATAACAAATAAGCAAACAAACAAAAAAACAGATGCAAGTTCCCTGAATTCTTGAAGCCTGGTTAACTGAAGTTTCTGTACAACTAGAAAACAACATTATTTTAAAGTCTTATTCTTTTAGCCTGGTAGAAAATGTTCTTCATGTCTGTCCTAGAAAATGCAGTCTGAGGCTAGGAGCAGTGGCTCATGCCTGTAATCCCAGCACTTTGGGAGGCTGAGGTGGGAGGATCACTTGAGGTTCAAGGCCAGCCTGGCCAACATGGTGAAACCCCATCTCTACTGAAAAATACAAAAATTAGCCTGGCCTCATAGCAGGTGCCTGTAATCCCAGCTACTTGGGAGGCTGAGGCAAGAGAATCACTTGAACCTGGGAGGTGGAGGTTGCAGTGAGCCAAGATCGTGCCACGGCATTCCAGCCTGAGTGACAGAGTGAGAATCTGTCTCCAAAAAAAAAAAAAAAAAAGAGAGAGAGAAAAACAAAATGCAGTCTGATTAGCATGAGAAATTCTTATTTTCCTACCTAAGGATTTTGTACTACCTCATGATCATTAAACATCATCGCTCATTGTCCAGAACAGTACACATAAAGGTTTGACATGTGTACTGTTTCCAGGATATTCCCTGGAATTTTTTGTTTTAGTACATAGGGTTACTTTCTTACGGGTCTTAAAGTTAAAGAATAATTTTTAAACTATCCAATATAGTTTCATCTTTTTCTATTGCTGCAACTGTCCTACTGGGAACTCTCATCATCTTGCACACAAACTAGTGTTGCACCCTCCTAACCAGTCTCCCAGCCTCAGTTTCTCCTCTCACTACCCTCCATTTACTGGCAGTCATCCTTCTAAAGCACAGTTGTGTTAGATCAGCCCTTAACCTTGATTCCAGCTTGAGAAAGCAAATCAAGCATTTATTTCCACTTATCCTTCCTTTCCAAGTCCCACTGAAATGAGAGATTTTTTTTTCCTGAAGAATAAAACCTCTTAAGAGTTCTGGCAAATAAGAAAGCAACACAGAAGAAAATCATAAATTCAGAGGAAACTGATTCAAAGACAGTGGAAGTAAATTAGAGGAGAGAAGACTAGAGGGAAAACTGCAACCCAAAACATCAAAGGAAACATCAATTCAAGTTGAGTCAACAAGTTCGGAGTAGGGGCTGTGGGGCTGTCAGCAGAGGGGAACTGAAGAATTACATTCTGAGCAGCTGAACCATACAGATCTTTCTCTCGACTCTCCCTCTTCAGTGTGTAAAATGAATAACAGCAATATCTAGGTTTAAAAATTCTGGGGTTTCCCCCACAGAGAACCCCAAGAATTGCTTTCGAAAGAAAGTGTATGATATGGCTGATAAGTAAGCCTGGTGAGGGACTGGGGGCTGAGAGGGAAGCATGGGGAGCTTGATGTAATATTAGACTTTCACCCCAGAAACTGAGGAGAACACACAAGGATTAAAGTGCTCCAAGGCCAAAATAAATATTCTTATTCGCCAGTTGTGGGGGTTCCCAGGGTGTCTGCCTGCTCCTCACACACACCTCCTCCAGAAAAACCTGGCAAACACTCCACCCGCTGCTGCTTACCTACACAGCTACGCAGAAAACACAGCTCCAAGATCATATTTGAGAGACACCAAGAGCACAAAAGAAAAGAGCCTAGAAGAATTCATAGAACAGAAGAGTTAATGCCGAAAAGATATCATTCAGCAAGGAAAGCTTTTAAAATTATAACTAGTATCTTCAGAAAGAATTTGAAAGAATTTGGTATCCATTAAAAAGAATAGGCTGCCTTTGAAAATAAATAAATAAATAAATAAATAAATAGACACACATTCTGGAAATTAAAAAAAAAAGACTTCTGAATTTTAAATATATATTTCCACTGAACCTGGAAGTTTGGAATTCCTTTTGCAGCAGTTGGAAGTTTAGTGAGATAGTATTATCTTTACTTTGCCAAAGTCCAACCAAAATGCTTGGCTCTTCATTGAATAACATTTACACAACATAATACTGTTTTACTGGGTTAAAATGTGTAGAATTGTCCTGTGGTTTTTAAAAGTAGAGGAAGGCTTCACTATGGCTACAGAGTAGAATGTATATGTTATAAAACTTAACACAAATCAGAATGCAGAAAAGTTGGAGGATATGGAAGGTGGTGATGGTGTAAAATGGATGTGCCCTTCACAGTAGGCCATCATATGAGTAGCCTAAGATTGATAAGTTAGAAAATAAATAATTTTACCACCTCACAATACAATTGAATAGAACAAAACGGGAGGGAGACAGAAAAAGAGAGAGATAGCAGGAGCGCAGAAGGGAAAGAAAGAGGGCAGGTAAAATAAATGACCTAAGTGATTTCCAGTGGCGAGTGGAGAGAAACTTTTACTTTTCATTTTTGTCCCTTCTGTACAATTTAAATTTTAAAAATAAATACAGGTGTTATTTTTACTTTTAATGAAAATTAATCAAGAATGCCAATTAACTGAATGCCAGTTATTTGAAATTTTAATGTATACAATTTTTCCCTGGCAAAATGTCATGAAGACATAAGATGTTTTCCCTTACTAGCCTTAAAAACATTTTTCTCATTTGTGTTTACTGCAAAACTGAAACCTAAAATGTAGTATAAAAATATGAATTGCATTGTAATAGTTTAACTTTTTTCTTTTATTCTTAAATTTTAAAAAGGCAGGTTTTATATACTTTCCTTTTTAAAAATTAAAATTTATTTCGGAGTTAGGAAAGACTAAGGAGCACTTATGACGAAACTCATACATATTCAATATTAACATTGTTTTTTATGGTATATATTACTCCAAAAATCATACCCTTTTTGTGTGTGTTTTGGTTTGCCTTTAATCCATGACATATACTCATTTTAGGATACTTTTAGGACTATACTGATCACTCAAAGACTTAGGATGGAACCTTTAGCTAAACATGCAGTTTGATGATATTTCACACACATGGAGTTGCGTATTTCTTTCTTTTTTTTTTTTTTTTTTTTTTTGGAGATGGAGTTTTGCTTCTGTTGCCCAGGCTGGAGTGCAGTGGCATGATCTCGGCTCACTGCAACCTCTGCCTCCCGGGTTCAAGGGATTCTCCTGCCTCAGCCTCCTGAGCAGCTGGGATTACAGGTGTCCGCCACCACGCCCGGCTAATTTTTTGTATTTTTAATAGAGGCGGGATTTCACCGTGTTAGCCAGGCTGGTCTCGAACTCCTGACCTCAGGTAATCCACTCACCTTGGCCTCCCAAAGTGCTGGGATTACAGGCGTGACCCACCGTGCCCGGCCGCATATTTCATTTTCGATGCTACTCTAGTGGTATGCATGTGTACATGTATTTATGGTATGTTTGCATTCATGTGTCTACAAAGAAAACATGTTCGCACCTTGGTTGCCTTGGATGGAATTATGAATGGTGTATGCCTCTGGTATTTATATAAGTTATAACCACTAAGAAGCCCAACTTTAAGACATATATTTCCCAAAAAACATACTTTTAACTGCTGTAACTCATGAAGCTGTTACAAAGAATTGCCCAAGTCGATTTCCTATATTCTTGAGAGTACCTGAGATGCTGATACAAAGCACTGCCATCTCATCATGGGAAAGGTTATAGCTTTATATACCCCACAGTTTCCAAGCCCAGAAAATACAAGCCTTCTACGGATTATCACCTCCCATCACCAATCAGAGAGACAAGAGTGTGTCCCACATTACAACTATGTTCCAATCCAAGATGCCTTATCTAGGACTTGAAATCAAATCACCATTTCACTGCTGGCAAAACAGAATGAAGCCACATGGTTCAAACGGAAAGACACTTGCCCTTGTCTCATATTAGTTGTCACTCTTTAGGGGCTCTAGGCATCCATCAAGTATCATTCCCTTTTTAAAAGAGACTAATTAAAAGAAAAATCTAAAACAAATTATAAGAATTCCGAGACTGACTCCTGATGTTGACAAGGGACAATATGTGGAAAGACAATGGAGAAGAAAGATACTATTTTTCTTTATTGTTGAGAAAAAATATAACAAGTTAATCAAATCATGTCTAGTATGCATGAATCTGTGCTTTACATTATGACAGATACAAAGTAATATATGGCACCATCACCATGGAAAAGGAACCTTAAAAATCAGTTGATGAGATGGTAACTACAGATAAATAAAAAAAATTATTGCAACATGTCAACAGTGTGTACCAAATAAATGGTCCAGACTACAGGACCTCAGGGGAGAAGAAAGAAAACTATTATTATTTATCAGATGCCAACCATTTGCCAAGATTATTATATAAATACATTTAATTCTCACAACAATACAGAATTAATATTAAAATTGCCACTTTCAAAGTTGGAGTAAATGAAGTTACTAAATTAGAGTTAACTAAATTGACCAAGGTCATGCAGCTTGTCTGTTTTGTATTCCAACCAAATTTGTTAGACTCCAAAGCTTACTTTTTCATTTAAAACCCAGTTTGTGCAGAGTGAGGAGCTAACATTTTGAAGCAATGGTGACATACGAAATTGGAACTTGAAGGACTGATAGAAACTGGACAGGTGGAAAAGGGGAAGGGAGAATTAAAGGGCATTTTAACAAGGGGAAAAGTGTGAGCAAAGAAATGCACAAGGTGTATTTGGAAACATAGTAATTCAAAGATTTGTGTAGGGAAAGTGTAAGGCAAGGGCAACAAGTCGGGTTAAAACCCAATTCCCCAGAGTCTTAAGTGCCCAGGTGTGGTGGTTCAATTCTGCCTTTTAAGGCAATAAAGAGCCAATAAAACTTTAAAGCAAAGTGGAAGTTCCAAGTTGAGGCAATGATATAAGATTCTCCCAAGAAGTATACAGAATGTATTAGGATGGAAAAAAGACAGGAGAGGAGTAGTATGAAGAGGTCTGGGGGCTACTGTTATGACTATAGGTGTCACAAACACTGAGAAGTTCACAGAAGCACCGACATCACTTCAAATTTGTCAGGTGCACACTCTGTATCTATTAAAACCTGGTTCCATTTTGATTTCTCTTTCTATTGTTACAGAAAGAAAAACACAACTTCAAATTCAAGCCCCAGTTCTAACCAGTAGGCTTCAGATCCCTGGAGTTACTGGGTCAAGTCCCTGGAGGGCTCCACATTTAGAACAGGCTGTTTGCACATGTGAATGGGGCTCATATATTTTCTCCATGCCCCTGAAACAATTGATGTACTCCAGTATATGGTGTATGTTTTTTATAATTACAACAGAAGAAAGCATTCTTTATGGAAATAAATGTGCTTTTTAAAAACACATTTCTGAAAAGCAGCAGGCAAAGCATTAATAACAAAGTGAAATGATAAACTGAATGGAAGTCTGAGAAAAATTCTATATTTGTATTATACAGGCATTGTTTTCATTCCTGGCACCTTATTTTTCATGTACATAAAGAGAATGCAAGCTACAGCAGGGTGAGACAAAGATCAATGCTGAATGTATTACTTGGCACTGGTCAGATGCAGTTTAATAAGAAAAAAATTGATCCATTAAGCTAAACCTAATTTTTGGCCGAAAATGGTTGAAATCTCTTCTTTATATTGCTAGCTTCATAAAGACCTATAATATTTGGAAGAAACAACTCAAGGCTGAGTTTAATAAGATTAAATGTATTGCAAATATACTTAAGAATCTATCAAGTTGTTAATGATTGCTATTAATATCAAACAATTTTTGTATAGAATTTTTTATTAGAGCAATTGTAAAATACAGCCTTAAGAAATGCAATATAAAAAGGTTTTCAGGTAATTTGTAACAGCTACAATTGCAGAACTCAAATCTTAACCTACAAGATATAGTAATTTATTTTATCAAGCCAGTTTCTAACACAGTGCAATTCAATTTGTAAGTATTTAAGTGCTGGTCTTAGGCCTGTATAGCAAAGTTCAGAAGGAACACACCTACAGTAGGCAGTGGTGCTGGTACATGTCAGAGAATTAGGAAGTGGAAGATCTGGTGTTATAATATTTAGAATTATTTCTGAAAATGCAATTTAATTTCAAAGAAATTATTTTAATTTGCCTTCATTCTCAGATCATTAAAAAGGCAGGAAGCTTCAGTCTCAAATTTCATAGAATCATGAAGTGGCTGTCTGGTTCAACTTGTCCATCTATAGACACAGAAACTGTAGCTACAGACTGATTCTGTAAAATAATCTTCCAAATGTGCATGCATTAGATGAATATTGAATTTTTTAGTTCGAGATAAAAAAATGCAACTAACGAAAACTGAGGCTACAGAAAAATAAAATAGAAACTTGTAGCCATAACAGATACAAATACTTTTGTAAGTAATAAAAACTTGTATTTACGTAAGTAATAAAAACTTTGATTTGAATGCTCTAAATCTTTACTTCACTTTATTTATATGGAAGTTCACGATTGTATTACAATAAATCCAGAAATACACGCATACACACACTCACACCTTTTTTTCAGAACTTAAATAATCAATGTTTAAAATGGATCCATGAAAATTAGAGTATTTGAAAGGTTATGATTCATATAAGCAATTATACTAATAAAATATTTTCTAAATGACTGTATTCCCAAAAACTGAGAAAGGAAAATCATGTTCTTGTACTTACTATTTAAAAAAAATCCCCTACAGCCTGGGCACTGGGTGATGAGCTATGCCCTTTTTACCTCCAGGGTACCAATTTAAATCTCCTCTGCATCAAGAGGGAAAAAATATTGTTTCCATTTTAATGCCTGTCCAGTGTCCTATGCAAAATGGATAGGAGGTCTCAGTTCAGTTCTGAGTAGATAGATGCATTATGGAATTGTCACCTAGGAGAAAGGACAAGAACTGAAAGATTATTGCGGGGAGGAATCCTTTCACCCTACATACAGTGCATCCCATATGTTGGAAGGACACTTAGGGTACTTAACAATGCCTTTCAGTTCATAGGAGGCTAATTAACTATGCCTCATAATTACAGGATTTATTACAATTTGTAAAATCTGAACATTTGCATCTGCATATGATTTTACATGCAGGACACCACCTTGCAAGAGCAATGCTAAATGGCCAAATATTGTGATCATCAGGTCACGGGGAGCTTAAAATACCTTTTTTTCTAAATTATGACTCCTGAATATTTTAACTGTAAATAATGATGTAAGAACTCTATTGATGATTAATTTGTATTTTAAGCATATAAATCACTTCTTGGTTGCCATGCTAATACTGATTTAGAAAAATACACACTTCACCTAATATTGATCTGTTTTTCTAATTCTTCATCAGAAGGGTCTAATATGGTCGCTTTTGCAATTTACTTTCAAAGTTATCCTTTTAGGAGATGAAGTAAGCAAAAGATATTGAAAATCCAAAGTAAATTACATCGTACCAGTTAGACTTCCCTGAAGGAATGGATACTCCCCTGTAATCCGCTCAGCTCACAACTAATAGGCAGGGAAATCAGCTCTGTCTTAATCTTTGCTAAACTATGACTCTCTTTTTAGCACACAACATTTGTCTTCAGGACATCTATCAAATATTTAGTATATCTTCTAACAAAATTAAATTTTCTATTAAATTGCAATCTACATTATGAATCAGAGCCTTAAAATGTATATAAAATCCAATATTATGCATGGTACTTATCAAAGCATACAAAAAAGGGATACTTTAGAAATTATTATGCCCCGTTTTTAAGCTCTAAACACATAATTTAAAAATGTACAAAGTATCCCCAGTTTTCTTGAAACTGGTTTGCCTATAGAACTTGAGCTTATGTAATTTGCCAGTGAGGAAAGGGCCTAAATATATACCAACAAAAAAAAGAAAACAACCCTAATCCTCTAAATGAAACCAGAACTTGAATATCACCACAGGAGAGCACACAATTATGTCATCCACAACAAAGAAAGTGAAACTGAATCACATCTATCTATGCATACATTTATAATTCACGTAGTATATATATGTATAGGTGTGTATATATATATATACACATGCACACACAAACACATACATATAACACTTGCATGAAGGTAGATGGATAGGATATACATATTAATATATTAATGCTTGTAATACTATATAAAGAAAGCTAGAGAAGGATATAGCAGGTGATAAAAACTATTTAAAAATTATCAAATTAAATGTGATAGTAATCTCTACAGAGAAAACAATGCCAGAATACGAAAAGCTTACTGGGCTACCTATCCATCAATGTCATCTAGAGGAAAACAAATGGAATCCAAAACTGTAACCATGGACAGGGTATCCAGAAGTAACCTATGTTTCAGAATTCATTGAACTGTGGAAACGAAATTAATATAAGAAAGCTTAACACTAACAAAAATACACAATAAGAGAAGGAATCTAAAGGAATAAAAAATACTGAAGATGCTTTAAAAGGGAAGTAAGTTGGCTGGGCAAGATGGCTTACACCTGTAATCCCAGCACTTTGGGAGGGCAAGGTGGGTGGATCACTTGAGGTCAAGAATTTGAGACCAGCCTAGCCAACATGGTGAAACCCTGCCTCTACTAAAAATACAAAAATGAGCCGGGTGTGGTGGTGGGCACCTGTAATCCCACCTACTCGGAAGGCTGAGGCAGGAGAATCACTTGAACCTGGGAGGCAAAGGTTGCAGTAAGCTGAGATCATGCCAGCCTGGGTGACAGAGCAAGACTCTTGTCTCAAAAAAAAAAAAAGGAAGTAAGTTTTGGAAATTGCTGTGTAGTTACAGGATATACCAAGCCTTGAATCACAGTTTAGTTTAGTGCATGAGCCAACATGAAAAAAAAAATGTAAATGAGAAAAATAAAAATGAAAATTATTAACCATCTCATAAGATAATTTTCTTCTTTTTTTCCATTAATATAAAGGTATATAACATTAAAAATGTTTCTCTGGTTTAAACTCATGGTCACTCTGGCTGGAGCCTTAATTCTACTTCCTAGAAAAGTTTTGTGAGAGTTGCTGTCAACCAACATGTCTCTGTATTCCTTTAAAAATTTAAAACAATCCTGTAGAATAAATTCGTAACCCCAGATCTGCCATATGTTTGCTACTGTTGAAATTGTTTTAATTAATTTACATAATATCTAAGTCTTGAAGCTAGAAATAAAATCCAGGTCTTTTGATTTTTAGTTTACCTTAAAAGTTAATTTTAAATGCTGCCTCCTATGACATTTTCTAATAATATGCAGTCCATTTTTAGTTAATCAGGGTAATGGAGACATAGAGGTCATAGATCACCAAAATCATAATTCAGACAAAGCTAATAAAAACACATTTTTAATAGAGTCAATGTAAACTTAATTAAAATTACATCCGGTTGGCTAATTTAATTATGATGCATTTAGACAATGGAATACATACAACTATTTTTAAGATGAAACTGATTTAGATACTATACTATATATGAATATATTTATACGTTTGTTTATATATACTTTCAGATTTATTTACATATACATTCACATGAATGCATATATATGAATGTATATATAAATATATATAGAAATATGAAAACATAGAAATACTTTATATGAAAAGTATATGTATGTATATGTGCGTATATGTATGTGTATATATATACTTCTGACCTTGTAGATACGTTTTCACATCTGAAATGATGTATACCAAAATAGAGTGATTGCCTTTGAGAGGCAGGTCACTACTCCTGTATCATTAAAAATTTTTTGCATGGACTATTTATTACTTTGTAATAAAAAGATACTTTTTTGAGAAAAAATATATCCAATATCAGGATAGTCTATTTTGGTCTTGTTTTGCTAGCTAATCATGGCTCTAATTTCCTCCTCTCCAAACACTTTCATTTCAGTGTCACAAATGCTGGCTCCAACACATTAACTTATTCTTATCAACTTGTTAAATGTGAGTCCCACGTTGTTGCTTTGATCAGGTTAACCAAACAGAATATTCGTCAAAATTACCTTCCATTCAGAAACCATCAAGAAACACCTTGCCTTGTCCACCCAGATTAACCCTGACGCAGACATTCCCTATGCCCTTTGTTGACTATTGGGAGACAACATTGCTTTGTCAAGGTCACCATGAGAAGAGGGCCTTTTCATGGCTTTAGGGCTTTGTCTCTTTGTTTTTGTTTTTCAGCTTACTTGAAGAACATAACCATATTCAAAATAAATTAATTTATATTTTCTTTTTCAAATTAAAAAAGTCTTCCTCTATTTTAAATTATAATGCAAATTGTGTAACACTTTCCCCCTCCTCTAATGTTTGACAATTTCAAGATTTTTTCTAATGTTAAGCATTATCCTTTTAAGATTAGGTTGAGAATATTTTAACTGTATGGCTACTCATCTGATGGGTAGATGGCGTAGACTTTTGCACGAAGCAGGAGGTACTGTATAGCATTTATTAGTTAATATGTATTTCTAAACAAATGTCTTCTAATATCTAGAATGTTCATTTTTAATAACTTTATAATTATTATATTTTATGTTTAACCATAGTAAACTTGCAAATTTGATTGCATTTCTATTAATTTTGTTTATTTTTTGACCAATGCCTCTCTTCCATCATGACCTAACACAATGCCATATAACTAAGTTGAGTTGAATAGATAGTATAGATGCATAAGGGGAGGCATTTTGAGAATCTATCGGTTTATAAAGTCGTCATCCCACCCCTTCAATCCTTTCTGCTTCTTCTCCACTGAGAATATAAGAGACTAAAAGTAGAACTACTATTTGATCCAGCAATCATACTACTGGGTATCTACCCAGAGGAAAAGAAGTCATTATTCAAAAAAGATACTTACACACACGTTTATAACAGCACAATTCACAACTGCAAAATCGTGGAACCAACCCAAATGCCCATCAATCAACAAGTGGATAAAGAAACTGTGATATATATATATGTACACACACACACACACACACACACACACACATACACAATAGAATACTACTCAACCATAAAAAGGAATGAATTAACAGCATTTGCAATGACCTGGATGAGACTGGAGACTATTATTCTAAGTGAAGTAACTCAAGAATGGAAAACCAAACATGGTATGTTTTCACTGATATGTGGAAGCTAAGATACAAGGACACAAAGGCATAAGAATGATACAATGGGCCGGCACGGTGGCTCACACCTGTAATCCCAGCATTTTGGGACCCCGAGGTGGGTGCATCATTTGAGATCAAGAGTTCAAGACCAGCCTGGCCAACATGGTGATATCCCGTCTCTATTAAAAATACAAAACTTAGTCAGGCATGGTGGCAGGCACCTGTAGTCCCAGCTATTCGGGAGGCTGAGGCATTGAGAATGTATGAACCTGGGAGGCAGAGCTTGCAGTGAGCTGAGATCACACCACTGCACTCCAGCCTGGGCGACAGAGCAAGACTCCGTCTCAAAAAAAAAAAAAAAGGAATGATACAAGGGACTTTGGGGACTTAGGGGGAAGAGTGGGAGGGAGGCAAGGGATAAAAGACTATATATGGTGCAGTGGGTGCAGTGTATACTGCTTGGGTGATTGGTGCACCAGGAGCTCACCAATCACCACTAAAGAACTTACTCGTGTAAACAAATACAACCTGCACCCTAATAACAATAACTTATGGAAAAATAAAATTTTAAAAAATGAATTTTAAAAAAAAGATAAGAGAAAGAAAGTGAGAAAGAGAATTTTTTATTCGTTGGTTTGGGTGTATCTAGAACATTGTTAATTAGCTGCTCAAAATATTTGCAAACGATATATTATTTTACTTAACATTAGTTCTTCCGTCAACCACCAAAAACAGATTTAAGGAATTTTAGTGGTAAAAATGAAAATAGGATGCTGAAATGCTAAGTGTAGACAAAGTCTTAGCAGTAATTCCTATAGGTTTGTAAGTGTATCAAGAGTATTTTCAGAATTATTTATCCATGTTGACCCAGCACTTTTGGATGGGGTCTAATTAAAGCTGTCAAACGTTATTGTAATTAGTCCCTAAAATTAACTGTAATCAAAATGGCTAAGGATAAATATATATTAACAACTACATATGTTTAATCAGTAATACCACTTAATTTGGTCATTTTAACATAGAGTATATATAAATGTTTATTTCAATTATTGAAACACATAGCTATCCATAGCCCTTCAGGATTTTATACATATATAATTTTTACACATCTTTACATATACCTATAGTGTTATGAACACCTATAAAATTGTCTTAAAATATTTATAATCTTACTTATTTGGCATAGTCATATAGCACTGGCATATGTTAAAAAAAAGTTACAAATGAAAATTCCTGAACTGTATTCCTGAATGAAATAAAGAGCACATAAAAGAAAAAGGGGAATGTGGCAGTCATATAGAATGCTTGCAGACCCCAGGAATGAAAAATTAAATGGAATAAAACAAAGAAAGAGGTTGAGTGGGAAAAGCAAAGGGGAAAAAAAGGAAACTAGATTATAAATTCCTCCAGCTAATTATCCTTATTTTCCGGTTATTTTGTATTTACCCTCAGCACATACATTGCGTTTAAAATATGGTGGGCTCTTAATAAATGTGGCCGACTCATTGGGAAGATAAAGGAAGGAGCGTATCAGCTAAGTCAGAGGGAGGAAAGGAATGTGTGGCCAATAAACAAAGTTAAAATTGTTCAATCTCTGTATTACCTAACAGATATTTTCACTTCCCACATCACTGATGAAATTTTATTGGTTTTTATTTTTTATATCCCCAGATTAATAGCTTAATCATTAACTATTAAGACAGGCACATTTTCCTTACCATGCAGACAACTAAGTTTCCAAAAGAAAACTGGATCTCAGCATCTTATCCAAAGACAGACAAATAAAAATATAACTACAAGAAACACAGATAGTAGGTTGGAGACTCGATTGTTGATGACAGCGGAAGAATGATAACAAAATGCCGGAGCGAGATAGTGAGCCGTTCTCCAACCCTTTGGCCCCTGATGGCCACGATGTGGATGATCCTCACTCCTTCCACCAATCAAAACTCACCAATGAAGACTTCAGGAAACTTCTCATGACCCCCAGGGCTGCACCTACCTCTGCACCACCTTCTAAGTCACGTCACCATGAGATGCCAAGGGAGTACAATGAGGATGAAGACCCAGCTGCACGAAGGAGGAAAAAGAAAAGTTATTATGCTAAGCTACGCCAACAAGAAATTGAGAGAGAGAGAGAGCTAGCAGAGAAGTACCGGGGTCGTGCCAAGGAACGGAGAGATGGAGTGAACAAAGATTATGAAGAAACCGAGCTTATCAACACCACAGCTAACTACAGGGCTGTTGGCCCCACTACTAAGGCGGACAAATCAGCTGCAGAGAAGAGAAGACAGTTGATCCAGGAGTCCAAATTCTTGGGTGGTGACATGGAACACACCCATTTGGTGAAAGGCTTGGATTTTGCTCTGCTTCAAAAGGTACGAGCTGAGATTGCCAGCAAAGAGAAAGAGGAAGAGGAACTGATGGAAAAGCCCCAGAAAGAAACCAAGAAAGATGAGGATCCTGAAAATAAAATTGAATTTAAAACACGTCTGGGCCGCAATGTTTACCGAGTGCTTTTTAAGAACAAGCATATAAGCGGAATGAGTTGTTCCTGCCGGGCCGCATGGCCTATGTGGTAGGCCTGGATGATGAGTAAGCTGACACAGATATCCCCACCACTCTTATCCGCAGCAAGGTTGACTGCCCCACCATGGAGGCCCAGACCATACTGACCACAAATGATATTGTCATTAGCAAGCTTACCCAGTTGCTTTCATACCTGAGGCAGGGAACCCGTAACAAGAAGCTTAAGAAGAAGGATAAAGGGAAGCTGGAAGAGAAGAAACCTGCTGAGGCTGACAGGAGTATTTTCGAAGACATTGGGGATTATACACCCTCCACAATCAAGACACCTTGGGACAAGGAGCGGGAGAGATATCGGGAACGGGAGCGTGATCAGGAGACAGAGACCGTGACCGAGAGCGAGAGCGAGAACGAGATCAGGAGCGAGAACGAGATCGGGAACGAGAACGAGATCGGGAACGAGAGTGAGAGCAGGACCGAGAGAGAGAAGAGGAAAAGAAGAGACACAGCTACTTTGAGAAGCCAAAAGTACATGATGAGTCCGTGGACGTTGACAAAGGACCTGGGTCGGCCAAGGAGTTGATCAAGTCCATCAATGAAAAGTTTGCTGGGTCTGCTGGCTGGGAAGGCACAGAATCGCTGAAAATTGCAGAAGACAAAAAGCAGCTGAGAGATTTCTTTGGCATGTCCAACAGTTATGCAGAGTGCTATCCAGCCACGATGGATGACATGGCTGTGGATAGTGATGAGGAGGTGGATTATAGCAAAATGGACCAGGGTAACAAGAAGAGAACCTTAAGCCGTTGGGACTTTGATACCCAGGAAGACTACAGCGAGTATATGAACAACAAAGAGGCTTTGCCCAAGGCTGCATTCCAGTATGGTATCAAAATGTCTGAAGGGCGGAAAACCAGACGCTTCAAGGAAACCAATGACAAAGCAGCGCTCGATTGCCAGTGGAAGATTAGTGCAATCATTGAGAAGAGGAAGAAGATGGAAGCTGATGGGGTTGAAGTCAAAAGACCAAAATACTAATCACCAGTTACAACCAGAGTCGCTCCACAAGGATATGCTCCCCACTGTTTTCTTTCTACAATTTCCGAAGGTTGCAAGATGTTTTTTTGTGGATGAATATAAAATTTTATTGTGAAAAAAAAAAGAAACACAGATAGTAAAAAAAATGTTATGTCTGGCAACACAGCTCATTCAAAAATAAATAATCATTTACTGATGATGGGCTTTGTAGATTCCCATCATCTACAGATTAGAACATATAAGGACAAATTCTGAAGAGCTATACTCCCTTCCATCTTTTCTCTACCTGCAATGAAAATTACAGAATTCTTATTGAAGGATACTAAGGTTCTATTCTATTTTCCAGCCTTAAATAGAGGAATTAGAGGATACTGGTTTTTGTGTGTGTGTGTGCTTTGTTGTTGTTGTTGTTGTTGTTGTTGTTTTTAGAGAGAACAAACATATCAAAGCTGGGGCTCAAGTATTCAGCCAAGAGAGAAATTATTTGCCAGAATACTTGGCTTTAAAAAATGCTTAAAAATATGCATCCCCTCTTTCCAAGACCACCACCTGCTGCTGTTCTTATAGGAAGGTACGAGAGGGAATCTGTCAACCTACTTTGGCAACCAAAGACCACATGAAAAAGTAAAGTATCCTTCAGGAAAACAGCCCCAATACATTTTTTCGAAATAATCAGATCCAGGATTCTGAATTGCAAAATGTTCTGCATTTATGGAAACATAAAAATTTTTAAATTAAAAAATTAAGCTTGCAGTTATTTTCATTGCCATAAAGAGCATAATATTTCAAAGGTGACACCTCTGTTATTAACAGGCATTTGCAAAAGCTTGGAAAAATAACATTTTTTAAAAATTCATGAAGAAATAATATAGTTGTTTATCATTAAGAGGCAAGAATATTTGGAAGACAGTAGAGTCCAGTATAATGTGAGCATGGTTTTGAATCTCACTTGTGTCATTTGTTAATTATATGAGCATGGACAAGTGACAAACTTCTCTGAAACACAATTCAGTAAAATGGGATTAGTATTACAAGATGAAATTCAGCTACTTAGGATCTCTGTCTCAGGTCTGTTCAGGAGGAAAAGTTGGGATTCGTTATTTCTTATCCAATAACATAAGTATTTTTAAAGAAGAAATATATGCAGGGAATTTCAAAGAACAAATGCCAAGTGCTTTTCAATCCTAAGTTAGGACCGTACTATATGTGTATAAATATCTTAAATATACATTAAACGTTTCCCAAAGTCTACATAAGAAATGTTGGCAGTATTTCTTTCGGTGAAGTGAGACTAGAAGGTTTAAGGAAGAAGAGCTCAGGGAGCTAGATGTTATGTTAACTTTTAATTTCATTCTCTCCTATAATGTTTAAGCCTTTAACAATGTACATATGTTAGATGATTCAAAAACTAATATGAAACACAAATGAATTATTTTAAATATCAGCATGAGGTAATATAACTTTTTTAGCATATGAAAGCAAGGAATTCATGCTCCTTTTCTCACAAAAAAACAACCTATGAAACCAACTATAAAAAAATTACCAAAAATAATTCATTTTTTAATAAGAGATTAAGATGGCAATAAGGCCAGGCGCGGTGGCTCACGCCTGTAATCCCAGCACTTTGGGAGGCCAAGGCGGGCGGATCACAAGGTCAGGAGACGGAGACCTTCCTGGCTAACATAGTGAAACCCCAACTCTACTAAAAATACAAAAAATTAGCTGGGCGTGGTGGCGGCTGCCTGTAGTCCCACCCAGCTACTCGGGAGGCTAAGGCAGGAGAATGGTGTGAACCCAGGAGGTGGAGCTTGCAGTGAGCCAAGATGGCACCACTGCACTCACTGCACTCCAGCCTGGGCTACAGAGCAAGACTCCGTCTCAAAAAAAAAAAAAAAAAAAAAAAAAAAAGGGCAATAAATGATTTTTAACAAATGCCTTGTAGGTACGTGATGTCTTTGGGCTAATGACTAATGTTTGTATAAAATGTTTTCAATATTTGATCTTTAAGACATAATCAACCAGTGCTATCACCACTATCATTTTCATACTGAGGAAGACTGTAAACACCTTAGAAAAATGGAAATGCTCTTAGGATAGGGAGAAGAATTATTCATCTTCATAGCTCCACTGTATACCACAATGATTGGCACATAGTAGCTCATAAATAATTAATTGATGAATACATAAATGAATAAAAAAAGCATGACACAGAAGATATTCATTCATTCAATACTTTCCCCAAACTGTTAATGACCATATTGAAGATGTCTATGTTTTCATCCTTAGCCCTATCCTGCCCAGAGAACCCACCCCATTCCCCTAAAATGAATCTTCTTTGCTAACTGGTCAGTAGCTCCTGCCCTCTTGATATAAGCTGATTGGACCACAGGTGGAGACTGACACAAGTTAGGTAACAGGTTCTCTTATCTGCAGTTTGCTTCTCTCTACTGGACACTTGAACAGGGAAGCCGAATTTGGAACATGCAAAAATGAAGGAAAGAAATTCAGTCTCTAGAGATAGAGAAGGATATGTCTAAAACTTAAGAACAAAGACGTAAGTTTCCTCATGAGGCTCAACTACAGTTAGTCCCATTAGGTTTTCTGAGCTATCACTATATCTTTCCAAATATTCATTATTTTTAAAGGCTTAATTTATTTTAGGTGGGTTTCTCTTCCATACAAATAAACAGTGAGGCTCCTGTCACCAAAAAACCTACAGAATACTCACTATATTCTTTGGCTTTCCCACTATTAACAAAGATGAACTATACAGGTTTCTATTTAAAGCTGATCCCTCTGTGTGCACCGCATCACATCCTGTCTCGCCTACTATGGAAAATTTCAACCAGAAATTCACCCCCTTTTTTATTTAGATCATCAAATTTTAAATCTCTATTGAATTCGTCCCTTTAAGATATACAAACTACTTTTTTCTTTCATTTTAAAACAAAACAAAATTTCTATTACCCAGTAGTGTCCTGGAGCTGGCTCACTCCAGCCCTTGAAAGCCAGTTGTGCCCAACTCTTCTCAACTCTGTGTTCAGTAAAATCAGCCATAATAGGAGAATTTGCACTACTGAAATTGGCAAAAGCTACAACTCAAAATTTCTTTAAAATTTTTATTTTTGCCAGAGAGCTGGTTGTTAAATACTTACCAGCATATCACTTTCTTGATCTCACTGCCTTCACCAAGTATCCCATTTCCTTGTTCCTCCTTTCAGCAAAATATATCAAAAGTATTGGGCATAAACATATTCTCTATTTTTTCACTTAAACCATTACAATCAAGCTTTGTCCCCACCATTTTACTGAAACTACTCTTATCAAGGTCTCCAATGACTTCTACGTTGCTAAATTCAGTGGTCAATGATCAGTTCTTAGATTATTTAATCTATCCACAGCATTTGACCCAGTTGATCATTTTTCTCTCCCTTCACTGGTCATTTCTTCTCAGTCTCGTTTGTTGGTTCCTCCTCTTTCCTCTGACCTCTTAATGTTGGAGGGCTCCAGGGCCTTACTCTCTTCTCCATCTATACCCTCTTGATGACCTCAATAAGACCTATGGCTTCAAATACTATCTAGAAGCTCATGGCTCCCCAATCTACAGGTACAGCAGACTTTTCTCTTGAATTTCACACTCTTAGATGCAATGATTCCAACACCACTTGGATATTTAAAAGATATCTCAAATTTAACAAGTCCAAAACTGAAATAATCTTCCTTCCCAAACATATTTCACCAATAATTATACATCTACGATAATGGCAACATCATCTTTCCAGTTGCTTGAGCCAAAAACTTTGTATGTAGTCACCTTTTATTTCTTTCTAACTGCCACATTCCACACTCAACTCATTAGGAAATCCTGTTGGTTTTACCTTCAGACTAGCTCCAAAACATAACATTTCTCTCCCCATTCCACTGCTGCTAGCCTGGTTCAAGCATATAGCCTGGATTATTCTGATTCTCCAATGAGGCTCCATACTATCATTGTAGTCCCTGCATGGTTTACTCTCAACAAAAACAGCCAGAGTGACCCTTTTAGAAGTAACATCATATCATGTCACTTCTCTGCTTAAAGCTGTGGGATTACACCCTTTTGCTCAAATTAAAATGTCAAAATCCAGACAATGACCCGCAGGCCCTTCATGAGCCAGTGTTCTGTTAACTCTCTGATACTGTCCCCCACTACTCTCCCTTTCATTCAGGCCTTTCTAGCCACACTGAGGCGGCATCTCAAATATGCTAGATATGTTCCTGCCTTTGGGCCTTTGCTCCAGCTGTTCACTTTGCCTGAAACCATCTTCTGTCTATGAACTTGGCTGACTCCCTATGGCCTTCCAGCCTTTTCTCACCTCTTCTCCTATTTTAATATATTGCAACGTATCCACCAACTTCCTGTCCTCTGTATACCTCTTCTCTATTCTTTTTTTTTTTCATTGCACTTAACAACTACTACCCTACTTTATAATATACTTATTTGTTATGTTTACTGTCTGCCTGTCCTCACCAGAATGTAAGCTTCCCAAGGGCAAGAATTACTGTCTGGTTTGCTGATGACCCAAGTGTCTAGGGTAATCTGGTACCTAGTAAATTCTCAATAAATATTTGTTGAAAACAATAAATGACCAGCAACAACCAATAAATGGCAAAGACCATTCTGAATTTATAATATACAAACAAATCTGTGACTGTAAAAATCAGAAGTGCTAACACTGTTTCCCTAATGAAATTTTAGCTTCAACAGCTTTCTGGTTGAAATTTAAAATTTACAGAAGAAATGCAGCAGTATTCTCACAACCGTACCTAAACCTCTCTCATATCTGGGACTCAAATCTTGGGCTCTTATAAGAGCTCACAGCTCCTATAGGAGTTGTGCATTTATCAGTTGTGACACAAATGGGCCCGTGTAGTATTTTGTACATATGGTGTTAACTTTTATGCTTTAATATATATGTGCAATATAGCTGAATTATACTTGCTCTAGGAACCATCACTTTTATTTTACTGACTTTTGTGTATTTAAAACCTCAGGCATAATACAGTCTTGAATTAACAAAGTTTTTTTGTTGTTTAATTTCCACAGAAGTAAGAAAAAGAAAAGAATAATTGTTTCAACATTCAAATTTCTTCATGGCTTGTACAATGCAAAATTTTTCCAAGTTTAGGAAGTATATGAGAACTAGAGATTAGAAAATGGATGTGAAGTCCCCAAACATCTCTGCATCAACTAACTCCAAGTAGGTTTCTAACACACACATTATTGTGCCTAATTTAAAACACGTGACATAAAAGAATCATGTGTGGAGTTTTAAAACTATGAAATACACTTACTCACATATGAATTGAAAACTAGTAGCCATAGACTGTAGTGATTTCAAACTGAATCTTTCTTTTGCTCTTCAATTTAATCTTTTTTTTTTTTTTTTTTTTTGAGACGGAGTCTCATTCTGTTGCCCAGGCTAGAGTGCAGTGGCGCGATCTGGGCTCACTGCAACCTCTGCCTTCCGAGTTCAAGCAATTCTTCTGCCTCAGCCTCCTGAGTAGCTGGGATTACAGGTGCCCGCCACCACAACCGGCTAATTTTGTATTTTTAGTAGAGACGGGGTTTCACCATGTTGGCCAGGCTAGTCTCAAACTCCTGACCTTCAGTGATCTGCCCACCTCAGCCTCCCAAAGTGCTGGGATTACAGGCATGAACCACCACTCCCAGCCCAATTTAACCTTACAGCTATTACAACACAAGAAAACTTCTGGACAAAAGCACTTAATTAATTTTAATTGCGCATTTAAACCAGTACAACAAAAAAGAATGAGCACACCTATAATGAAGTTAAAAAAGTGAGTTTGAAGGGAAACATTAATATATTCAACACAAAATAATAAAAACTAAGGGGATTATCAATGCATCATGACAGATTTGTATTCACTGAATTAATAAATAGAAGGAATGACTTTTAAAAACCTATGAAACCTATCATGTAAATGTCACATAATCCAATAGATATACTTAAGCAAAACTTTGAAGCAGTTTGTAAATACAACAAAGTATAAAATAGGAAGAACGGTTGAGGAAAACATCTTCAAACACTGTTTTGGGTGGGTTGTATTCAAACTTACTTTCACCTATATCCATCAGAAATGTTATAATTATCGGCCGGGTGCGGTGGCTCACGCCTGTAATCCCAGCACTTTGGGAGGCCAAGGCGGGCGGATCACGAGGTCAGGAAATCAAGACCGTCCTAGCTAACGCGGTGAAACCCCGTCTCTATTAAAAATACAAAAAATTAGCCGGGGTGGCAGGCACCTGCAGTCCCAGCTACTCGGGAGGCTGAGGCAGGAGAATGGCGTGAACCTGGGAGGCGGAGCTTGCAGTGAGTCGAGATCGCGCCACTGCACTCCAGCCTGGGCGACAGAGCAAGACTCCGTCTCAAAAAAAAAAAAAAAGAAAAGAAAAGAAAAGAAATTTTATAATTATCATAATTGAAACACATTACATCCTTGGCCTCAGTTTCTAATCTTGCAGACATGAAAGAGTTGGGCGCAGGCTAACTATGTGTCTTATGTTTGGGGTAGTAGCCTGGTCCAGATTTTCTAAAATACCTTTAATTTAAAATATTCTGCCCTTATCTTTCAGTTTGTGTGTCCCAGAGTTTTGTTCAAACATGTGGTTTACAAATTCTTTGTCTATTATAATTTTAAATTTGTAAAAATTAGGAAATAGTTGGGATTGGTTTATATCAATCCAAAAAATAAGATTTTAGGGGCATATGTACTAACCTCTTTAATGCAACACAACTGTTTCTTTAGTCCTTTGGCATGATCATTTGTATATAAAGCAATTCTTATCTTTTGGATCTGGCAGGATCTCTACTTGACAAAAGTATTAGCTGCTAGGTTTTTGTGAGTGAAAATAAATTGCATTTTTTTTTTTTAAATCACAATTCATTATTTTCACTGACTCAGACTGGCTTCTCCACCAACCCCTCAGATTAGTTTAAATTAAATAAATTATTGGTTCAAAAAATCTAGACAGTTACTTAATCAAATAACAAATACCCAAGCAGGCTGCTCGAAATCACGTGCACTGATACATTCTTAGGCCCAGTGACCATAGAATCATCTGCCTTTGCTATAGGTAAATGATTCCTCCAGGGAGGAGCAGTTTTTCTAACAGAAATTTCCACATAGGTCCACTTTGACATTACTTAGGATTCTCCTTTGAGAATTTTCTAATAGCAAATACACACACAGAACGACCAAAACATCAAGGGAAAATTGATCCTAAAGGTACGACTGTCCTAGTTGTTCAGCTTGACTTGTACCCCAGTGGGAGAGGAAGAACTAAAAAGTGTGCTATAATTTCTTGTTCATCAATGCAGAACCCAGCACAGGAAGAAGGTGAGAAGACCCTGAGGTGAGTGGGATGATGAAGAAGACCAAGTGGGAGCCCATAAGTCTGTCTTCTTATGGTTATTGGTGCATAGATACTTGGGCAGCTCACCCCTGTGCTGACACTTTGCTTTCATTTCTCACTTTTTTATCTCCATGATTTTCTGTTAACTTTCTATTAACATCTGTCAAAAACCTAGTTCCAGTTCTGACCAGCCTAAGGGCTATAGGTTGAATTGGGTCAAGGCAAATAGGAAATAACTGATCTAGTTTCTACAAGGTCTTCATGGACTGAATGAAAATTATGCAGAAAGCACTAAATATTCATATTCTGTCTTTCTGTATCTCTTTCTGCTTCATGTTCTTTTTGTATTTGGTTTTGATGGGAATCTATATCTCTAAGGAAACCTTTTTTAAAAAACTGCAGCCAGTATCTGAATTATCTTAAGCTAATATAATATGCCAGACAGAGTATAAATGGGTGAAGATTTATAATTTCCAGTGAATATTTTCCAAGTTTTCCAGGATCATCTATACTATTTTTTGGTTAATATAATTTTTTTTTTAAATCACCCTTAACAGGACATGTAGAGTGGTTAAAACATGACATGTTTTTATTGAGGAAAAAAGAATTAGGGAAAACAACAGAGGCAAAAATAAATAAAATCAGACTTAAATAATGTATATTTATTCAGCATCTATTCACTTGTTCAAAAAATTATCGAGTGCCTACCATGTGCCAGGGAACAGGCAGGTACACATTGCCTTCACATTGTCGTGGTGAGACAGGCACTATACCATAACATAAATTCATAGCGATAACTGCCATGGGGAAAGTGAAGCAGGAAAAGTGACCCACAGCGGGTGCTATTTTCAATAGGGTGGACAAAGAAAATTGGGAAGAAGGGCCAAATATAGAATATATTTTGATAATATAGCCAGCTGAAATTGCTAATGGGTTGGATGTGTGGTCCAAAAGAGAGGAATCTAGGATGAGTCAAGGGTTTGCCTAAGTAATTGAATAAATGGCAATGGTGGTGGTATATTGATTGAAATACAGAACACTGCAGGAAAAGGGTTTGCAGAGTGAGGCTAAGTGGAAACCAAGTGTTCTGTGTTAAACATGCTAATTTTGAGATGTCTATTAGATGATGATAAGCACTTGGAGATTAGAAGAGAGGCAGGTGCTAGAGAAAAACACTTGTGGTCATCAGTACGTACATGGGATCTAAGCCATGGGAATAGTGTATTGCCCCAACAGTGAGTGCAGATCCAGAGTATAAGACATGTGAAGACTGGTCCCAGAACACACCAATATGTTCAGGTGGCAATGAGGGGGAGTGGGAGGAAGATCTAGCCGAGATATATGATGAAGGACCAGTGAGGTAGGAAGGTGACCCTAGGTGTGATGTTCAGGAATACTCACCAACACCAAAAAAGTGTTTCAAGTGCATCAGATGCCGTGAGATGTCAAAGATAAGTATAGGGAATTTCAGTAGAGTGACAAGTATAAAAGCCTATCTGTAGTGTGGTCAAGAAAGAATAAGAGGCGAGCAGGCAGAGAAAACCAGTACCTTAGCAACAGCATCTTGCCAAATTAGCAAAGCATCACTTGAAATAGTATTTCATGTTGTTCCTTAGTTCTTTGCTGCTTAATTTTCAGCATGGCCTCCAGCCATTTTAGTATTGAGCTTCTGAGTTCAGTGTTTGGTGCTGCAGTAAAAGCTTCATTTTGAGCAGTTTAAGTAAGAAATAAAAGAAGGCAGAAATCAGGCAGGCACTTTAATATAGGATTTCTCTATAAGCTAAACTATGTTGTTGTTAGCATTATATTATACTGGCTGATTATCTGATGTTAACACTTATAGTAATTTTTTCTCTAAATATGTCAAAAAGAAGTTAAAGAGCTGCAAAACATCCAAATAACAGAAATAATTTTTAAACCATATGTTGGATTTAATGAATGTTTAGTTAAATAGAAATAGGCTTTGAGGACATCAGGTCTCTGAGATAATTTTGAAAGAGCAGGAGGAAGGTGACTGACGATGTGATTGCTATAATAATTTTTATTTTCTTTTTTTCGTTTTAGTCTGGAGAGATTGGACTACAAAGCAAAATGAACTGTTATACAGACTTAGGTGGAAAGTATACTCTCCTACCAAAAAAACCAGTTGTTTTCCTATTTCTTTCTGCACTTAATCCTATCTTCAATGTGCCCTTTTAATTGACTTTAACACAAATATTATGAATATGAATTACAAGACAATATTAAAGGTAAAAGAAAACTTAAAATGACAAGCTAAACTGTTTCACCGAAATGTATTTGCATGTGTCCAAACCTTACTCATATATCAACATCTAATTTAGATAAACCTCCATTGAGGCCTTCCCAGTCCTTTCTTCTTAGAATAAGTCTCTTTCTCCTATACATTTGAATAACATTCTACCTGTAACTCTCATTCATCTTTTCATTCATTCAACCAACATTACTGAGCACTTATTATGGGCTGGTCCTCTTCTAGGAGCTTCAGATGCATCAGTGAAAAGAGGAAAAGACCCCTGCCTTATGGAGCTGAGATTCTAACAAGGAGAAACAACAATAAATAGAATACACAAAAAAAATCACGTAGCATTTAAAAGGTGATAGATTCTTTGGAACATGAAATGTAGAGCAGAGTAACGGGATGGGAGTGTAGGGGGTTGCAACCTGTAATGCAGTGGTTAAGATAGGGTTTACTTAGAGGTGACATCTGAGCAAAGACTTGAAGGAGGTGAGGGCATTAGTAACATAGATCTGTGGCGAAGACCTAGAACAAAGAACTAGAAACGCGCCTGGTGCTGTTGAGGGACAAAAAAGAGGCCAGAGGGGCTTGAGGGAACCTGGGGAGGGGAAAGGTAGTAGGAAATAAGGTCAGAGGCCATTGGTGTGGGGGTTTGAAGGGACATATCATGGCAGTGAAATGAGTGCTATTACAGAGTTCTGAAGCTGAGGAGTGACATCATCTGACTTTTAATTTAAAAGGAGCTTCTGGCTGCTGTGTTGAGAGTGCTGGGGTGTGTGAGAAGTAGGAGTAGGGGGACCAATTAGTAGGCCCTGTAGTTATGTAAGCAAGAGATGATAGTGACTCACACACTTCATGCAAGCACTGGAGCCGGTAAGAAGCGGTTAGAGTTTCATATCACTTTTTTACTTTTGTCATATTATGTACATGTCTTATTGCCACTTCTAGACTCTGCACTACTTGAGGCCAGAATTTGTGTTCATTTTTGCATGTCCAATGGGTACTCAATATTTTTAATGAATAAATAAATGAATGGTCACTAGACAAAGAATCTAGCTTATCAATATCTTTGGCACACACCCTGAATTTCAAGGCGTATTTATAAATGGACAATAGCACCACCAAGAGCATCAACTTTGAATAAGGGCAAAAAAAAAAAATGAATAAAATCTACATACTGCAGAACTGATAGCAGAATAATATAAAGGGAAAGATAGCCTTTATTTTACCTGTGTTTTATTTAATTTTTGATGAGTGTTTAGAAGTAATCTATTATATTTTCTCTATGTTCTTCTTGAAGTAAAGTAGTAGCCAAGGGAGAGAGAAATTTCTGTAGCATACAGACAGGTTCACAGTAGGTTTTGTCATGGAAATATTTATCATTATAAGAGCCAGTCAAGTGACATTCCATAATGCTAGCCCTTTCTGTAGTTAACACTGCAGGGAAGAAATCTCTCTCTGTCTTCAAATTCCAGTATAATAATAAAAAAGAAAACAACAAATGCATATAAAATAAATAACTTCTCCAACACATACGTACTCGACATTACAACAGAAAAGTTATGCAATCATTTGCTATTAAATCACAAACTTCCAAAACTTCAAAAGAGCAAGAGGAAAATTCCTTCAGAAAAAAACAAATTACCCATGTATGGATAATGTCCATACATAGTTGCAGAATATAGCTAAAGAAATGTTCTTTTTAAATAAGTGGTCTACATTTTAAAACTGCAACATCCAAATTGGGTATAGAGTTTGAGAAAAAGCTGCTATGTGCAATGTGGAAATAATTTATAAATACTTATAAAACATTCAGGAAGGGAGTAGATTTCAATACCTTTCTTTAATATATAATGTTTTTAAAGAAATCATTACAGTAGCAATGAATCTTTGCGATGGAAGCAGTAGTTTTACAGTTTGGATTCTAGAACCACAAAATTCCTGATCAACTCTGTAATTAGAAGGGAAATTTTCATCTTTCTAAGTTGTGTCTCCTATTTCTCCATTCCCTATTTCTATTTTCTCTAGTAACCATTGAAAAGATCAAGTTCAACTTATGACAAATCTAATTGAAAAATACCAGCCTGAATTGGAGGTTAATGTTTTCAGACAGTGGTTCTGCCATCTAATCATTCCACAAATATTTATTGGGTACTTAATATTTCCTGCCAAAGAGATAAGGTCATTACCTTTAAGAAGTTAAAATTTAATGAGGAAGAGATACAAACACGCAGTAAAATAGTTTGACAGTGCCCTAATAGAGCTATGCTCAAGGTACTACTAGGCCCACTCAGCGTGCTATGGGGACGCAGGGAGGCAGGGAAGGCCTATGGGAGGAGGCGCTGTTTCCACGTTGTGAAGGATGAGCAAAGCTGGTCAGAGAAAACAAAGGGAAAGGGAATCCTCAGCAGAGGGCGCCATGATCATGATCTCATTTTTAGAACTGCCCCAATAGCTGTGGGGAAGACAAAAGTGATAGCAGTAGGCTGGAGGCAGGAGGATCACTCCAGAGGCTTAGAGGAATCCAGGGAGGAAATCATGAGGGTCTGAACGTAGGAAATGGCAGTCGGAAAGGAAACAAGGGGCAAGTTCAAGATATATTTAGGAAATAGACCATAAAAGATGTGGCATTGACTAGTCAGGAAGAATGAAGAGAGGAAGAATGAAGAAGAATGAAGGACAGGGAGGGAGTTAGGAGCTTGAGAGGCTGGATATATGGAGAGCTGAACTCTAAGGGAAGAAATGCAGGAGAAGAAATGGGTGAAACAACAGCAGAGCGGATGTTTTTTGAAACTCAAAAGATTTGTCATGACATGTATTTGACATTATGACTAATTGACAAATATAAACTAGCTGTGGTATGAAGATATTCTACCCACAGAGCCTATTCAGAGTCATGAACATTACAGAGATCACTGAGGAATACTTGAAGAAACTCCTTCCATTCTCCCTGGTCACCAAATGTAAAGTATTGACGAGATAGAGACTAGCAGTCAGTATAGATTTTAGATATTTGTTTAGTGAATATTTACCAATTTTAGAACTTCCATTACACAATCAGAGGCATGGCTTCTGAAAAAAAAATCTTAGCATACTGTATTTTCGTGAACATTAACATATATAATGGAAAGGAGAGTAAAACAATAATTTTTAAAATATTTAACTTTATTTACAAATTAATGGTGACTTTTTCATTTCAGATCTTAAGTGTCAAGTTAATTCACTCATTAAAATTTAGATACATTTTAATACCCTATTATATTTTATTATTCAAGGACTTTCTTACCATACAAAGAAGATGAAATGCTCTTTCAGACCAGTTATCATTTCTGGTTACTATTTCCTTTTTTTCTTGTCTGATTCCAAATGTGCACTGGGAATATCAACAATACCCATGAAATAAATCCCTTCTCAAGCAGGACATTCTGAGTATCTGATTTATCACTCTGCATAGCTCCCATTAAATAATTTCTACAGTTTCAATAATAACCACAACTCTAGAATAATATATACTAGGATGCTCTATTTCAAGATCTGTAAAACTAGACATATATGAGAAAAATTTATAATATTTTAATATATTTCTGGACTCATGAATAATGAGTCATTTTTGTTAGATTATACAAATATGATCCACCAATAAAACATTTCATCTCAAATGTAACCAGATTTTGTCTACCTAGTATAAAGTAAGGAAATCCTGCATACTCCAGCAAAAAAAAAAGAAAAGAAAAAAGCATTCTCTAAATCAGTGTTCAGTGTTTTTCAAATTGCAGATGTGACCTATTTGTAGATCATGAAATCAATTTGGTGAGTTACAACCAGCATTTTTACACAATGGAATAGAATACAAAAGAACAGATATCAGAGTATATTACATTTCATAAGAGTATGTATGGTTTTGTAAAAGTTTGGTATATATGTATGTGCATACTGGGTACTAACATTAAATATTTCTTATCAGGAGTTGCATTTAAAGAAATTTGAAAGCCCCTGGTTTAAGTAACTTTGTCCACAGTATTGCTGAGACTTGTCAGGGGTCTACAGCTCAAATGTGAAATGAAAATAAATTTTAAGAGATGTGAAGATTAACTTTTCTACAACAGTTCTCTGAAACTCAAGCACTCACTTACTTTAAGCTGTCAAATATTTTACAAAATAATACCTAACAAATAGGATCAAAGGTTTCTCCTATACTATGTTTTGTAACTAAGAATATGTGGTCCAATATCACTAAATGACAGATTCTAACTTGCTTGATTGAGCCTTGCTATTTAGTAGTCATTACGGATAGAAGTTTCATTTAGTTGCATTGATCTTGTATTTAACTTTAGAATAAATTCAGAAGCTGAGCCATAAAATGTATGGTATGAATCCTTAACCCATGAGGACCCTTAAAAGGTCAAGAAAGCAACTGTAATTCCCACAAAAAACACACAAATGCATATGTTATCATTATATATAGCCTACACGAATATGCCCCAACATGTTATCATTAGGTATAAACCAGAGAATATTCTACAGTATTTTAATTCTACTATACTTAAATAATACATAAAAGACACAAATACAGTTTTCATTTTTATGCTCCACTGCAATTTTATGAGGTCTAAAAAACATAAAAGTTACATACAAGTCTTTATTTATGCCACCAAGAGTAAGTTTTATCCTTGGAAATGCTTAAAAACTTGGCCTAATACATACTGCCCAGTTATTCCTCATCCTTTGATTCCTTAACCTATATTTTTGTGAATAAATTTTAAGTCAGAAATTACTGATAAAGTATCAGTCATGAGTTTCACCTGAACTCAAAATTCTCCTCTTTTGAGAGAGCTATAATAAGTGGAAGTTTATATTTTATTTCATTGCTATCATTTCATTCCTTAGGTTCTTTATGGTGTTTTTAAAAATCCATAATATAATTCTATGAGAGTTAACATAATAGACTGTAACAGCTGTTATGGTCTATTGTGTAAATAAGTAATTACAGAATTTACAGACTATCATGTAAATATATAATTATGGACTTTTTAAAATGTGCATTATTTACTCGATAGTCTATCGTTTACATATGTAATTATGGACTTTAAAACATGTATTATTTACTCAGTCTGTAACAGCTCCTTGGGACAGAGTCGTTCTGGCCTATCGGGTAAACATGTAATTACAGAAATTTTTTAAATATGTATTATTTATCTGATAGTGCTGCTACAGATTATCACATCCATACGTAATCATAGATTTTTTAAAAGTGGGTATCATTACTTTGTAAAATGCTTCTGCAAGTCAACTCAGAGACTTTCAGTTCATGGCTCAGTTATCCAAAACTATGTGGTGATTCCTCCATATAGAATATTTGCAAAGAAAAGTGTTTTTTTTGCAAGTAATCTAAGTAAATTTTCAAGTTTCCTGAAGAAGTTATAAAAAACTGACCCCAAAGAAAACAAGTCATTTTGAGAACTGACCCCAAAGAGAACAAGTCATTTTGAGAGACGGGATATTTTTATAATAGTCTCTAGCTTAAGGTTCTTTTATCTTTCATTTTTTCAGTTATCTACATTACCATAATATTTATTTTTTAAAGCCAGAACCTCTTAATTCATCTGGTTTCTTTAAGGCAGAGTATCTGGCATGCATTTTACCTGTTATCTCCTTTAATATTCAATTATGTACACCTCCTTATGCAGTAGTATACTGGTAAATGTTTAACAGTTGGCTGGAGTGAGGGGGATTTAAATCACTCGCCATTTTCTGTGGTGTAAATGATCCCACCATGGCTGATTTCAAGCTACCAAAGGGATGTCACTTAACTCAATGTCACTCAACTAGTGAGCCATACAAGCAGGTAGGAGCCTATTTCAGCACACCACTACCTCTTACATCATTTCACATTCCAATTATTGAATGTCTTTTAATGTAGATTTTGAGGAAGTTAGAAACAAAAGTCTAATTGCTAAGGGCACATGAGGTGTTTAAAGCTTAAAATTAACGGACACACCTTCAATTAACAATCAATAAGAGACCTCTTTCTAGGTTCAGAAGATGCCAAAACTTTCTCTTAATCAAGTATGTAAGCAGCACTCTGGGATTGGGGGCAGGGAACGGCATTGTTTGGTACATCTGGTAGGAGGCCAATCCTGAGGTGGTTCATTACAACTGAGGTACACCTATGAAGAATAGTTTGGCAAAAAATTTAGAGATAAGTATCATGAGGGTGGTGGGGCTAGAAAACTTTAAGATGTATTCTAATCCTGTGAGCTGTTTTCATGATTTAATAAATAAGGTAAAGGTTAAATATATCGCATTTCAAAAAGCCATCCATACTTCCACAATTGTGCATTAACAGATTTAATTACTCTTTTTAACTGAGTAGTAAGTTGTAAGCTCAGCTAGACAATTCTAGAAGATGGAACTTCAAGAGAAATGCCATCAAAATAAACTTCAGATCACACTATTAAAACTAAGGATGTTAAAGTTGTGCCTTTTATTTTAATAACAGACTAAATCATTGCTCTGTACTGCAATTATAAGAGCAAAACTTTGTACTACTTGTACATTCCAGTTTTTTGAAATATATGATTGAATATTCATCAATAAATGACAAAGATTTACAGTGTATTCAAAGATTATTAATTACTTCCAATACTCTTAGTTTTAAATCTGGGGGAGAATATACTGATCTGCCTGCAGAGCATGGACAAGGAATCAGTGTGTATATATATATATATATATATATATGATTAATTCTCCAAATACTAGGTGGACTTAAACACATCATCATGTGTGGTCAACAGAACAGACAGCCAGGGCAAAGGAGCTATCAGGAAAGTTCTATCCAAAGGCAACAAGATATTATATACATTTGTCTAAGATGCTCATAAAATTTTATTTCATTCTACCACTAAAAACATTCTGTGGAAGGCAGGACCTTCCATACACATTGAATTTTAGTACGGTAGTGTGAAGACTTTATCAAGACCTGACACCAAGGGTTGCATACCTTCAGGGAGAGATTGTGTTCCGCTATGTTTAAATCCCCATGTAGAGCAAAACACAAAATATACATTACACTAGAGTACCACATGGCCAAAGACTGACTACAGCATGCCAGGAAGAGGGCAGGTGCCTCCTGCCAGAGGCTACAATTTAATATCCTGCTATAAAAGCAATAGGAGGCTCCTGTTCATCTGAAACCTAGAACCTATAATAAAAACAGTGAACAATTCAAAACTGGCACATTGCTCCTACTGGCTGTTCATGTGCCAGGATTTTCCACCATGCCAGAGTTGCAAACTGTGTACAGTCTCTGGAAACAACTAAGCTCTTCTTATTTGTGAGGTAGAATTGTGAGTAGTGAGGGATTTACTACACAAGAAATTTTTATTTTCTTTGTTTTAAGAAAATGAGTGTAAAATATGTCCCAATGGTTATTTGGGAAACTCACTTATTATGAGTTTATTAAATGGCTGAAGTACATGATTTTAGAGAAAGTAGGACTTCGGCAGCTAACAGCCTGAGGCACAGAAATGGAAAAGGTAAGCCAGAACTTATAAACATTCATTTCATCCAGGTGTACCTCACTTTAAACAATAAATGCATCCCAGGAGTGATGTGAAAACAAAATACTTATACATTGGATCATATTTTAAATTAACTAGGGATACAGTTTCTTAAAGGAAGCCTCAGCTAGTTTTTTAGTAATGTGGATGACCAATCTGCAATTTATCAGTTTCTGAAATATGAATTTTCAGATATCAAATTTTAAAGCAGAGTATAGATACATGTGTCTAACAGAAGTACATGTATTTATAAATATTCTAAAAGTCATACAGTTAAGATCAAAATACATTAAAGGCATTACTGTTTAGCTTGATCCACATGGATTTTCTGGGTTTAAAGGAATATATGAAATATTTGCTCGAATAAGGATGTATTAGAAAATAAAAAACCAAGGTTTCCATGATTGCAGTTAGTTATCTGTGAAGTAGGAGTGCCAAGCAGCAAAACTCCGTGTCCACTTGGCTGCAACAATTAATATGGAGATATTTTCAAGGTGGGATTATGGGCACTGGAACCTCTAGGGATGGAATGTTTTGCCCATGCGTTAAATCCTCATTTAGTGTGAACTTAATGAAAAGATTGCAATATGTTCTGTCAATGGTTCCCAGAGCATGGAGATACTTCTTTCTTTTACCCCTGAGAAAATGTAGTGAGATTTGTGCTGTATTTTATGGATGGAAATGTATGTGCTTTTTACTTTGTTTAGAACTCCTGAAGATAGGCTTAAAATTATGTAGGAAAATGCAGTTACTCTAAGGCTGTAGTATTAGCTGGATGTACAGTATATTTGTAAACTTTGCTGTGTGGGGGGAGAACCTCTAACATCATAAAATATCAAGAAAGAATCAAATTTTTCTATAGCATTTTAAATTAGGCAGTAGCTATTTTCACCAGAAGCTTGTTGGTCTGCTATAAAAAAAGTTATTTATTTATTATTCTAATTTGGATTCACAAGTAAAGTGTGCTCCAGTCAGAAAAAGGACTTGCTTTGCACAGACATGTTCAGGGGCTGTAATACAGTTACACGTATGCTATTTACTTTTAATAAAAGAGAGGCTCTTTGAGTATAGCAAATAAATGTGCAATACTGATAAGTTAAAAAAAAAAAAAAAAAAAGACCAGGGTGGAGTGGATAGGGGCAGAAACCAACAGGTCACTCATGCTTAGTTAGCATTCTAGTAGGTGCTCAGGCAGCCCTCAGGCAGTCCTAGAATACTCCTATGCCCCAAGTACACCAGTGAGGGAGCTCTCCTTGGAGAATGAACTGATACTTGGACATCTGCAAGAAACCAACATAGTCAGCTCGTCTCCCTCCTCAATTCATGGCTTAGATAGGACCAAACGTGTTTTTTCTCAGAAGTGTTGAAGAGCACATCACCTTGGGAGTCCTGGGACCACCAAATATTCAGGGTCCAAGCAAACAACTCAGAGAGGCTCTTCATAATTAGCACTAGTGACCCAGTTACCTTAACCCTTGAATTCTGTCCTTTTGTGGAACCCAGACCTCAGAAGTTTTGAAATCTAAGCAGGCCAGTGTTTGAGGTATTTGTTTCTTTGTGTTTAGCATCATAGAATTCTTTGGTTGGAACGAGATCCTCAAGATAATTTAGTCAAACCCCTTCACTTTAAAGTTAAGAAAGCTAGCCAGGCACAGTGGGTCACGCCTCTAATCCCAGCCCGTTGGGAGGCTGAGACGGGTGGATTACTTGAGGTCAGGAGTTTGAGACCAGCCTGGCCAACATGGCCAAACTCCGTTTCTACTAAAAATACAAAAAATTAGCCAAGTGTGGTGGCATGTGCCAGATACTCAGGAGGTTGAGGCAGAAGAATCACTTGAACCTGGGAGGCAAAAACTGCAGTGAACTGAGATTGCACCACTACACTCCACCCTGGGTGACAGAGCTAGACTCCATCCCGAAATAATAATAATAATAATAAAGTTGAGAAGGCTAAGGCCCAGAAAAGTTGACATGGTTTGGTAGACAGCTGGTTAGTGGCTAAGTCACAGGTGGAATCTCACTCCAAGGATAAAGACATAACATTTGTTAAGTTATGTATAAGGTGCTGTACCTAAGTTACCTCATTTAATTCTCATATACTCCCTATCATCCGCATTCATAGAGTAAAGCAAGTGAGATTTAGAACAGTTTACCAAACTTACTACAAATCGTACACTTTTAGGTCAATTTGCTAAAAATCTATTCATCAAATGGACAATTTGCGAAATAATAAATATGAAGAATGGCCAATTTGCTAAATTTACCAAAAAATTATTTCTTTAAACTATGTCCAACTTTTAAAGCAATTAATATTATTCATAGTAATTAAAGCTTCCAAATATTATTTCTAGTTTTAGTTGACTGGTTTTCATTTTATCTTCATGGCAACAATTTTTAGGAATTTAAATTCACTTTGTATTGGTAATTAGTATACATCAAATTTGAGGTCTCAATTACATGGTCCATTATAAAATCCCTTCTGGCATTCCAGCTTATTTTCTACCACTTACAACGCTATTGTCTTTCATCTCAAATCTTCCTACAAACCAGTACCAAGTTAACATACCAAAGAGATAGAAGCCATAAACTTTCTGCATTTTATAAAATTTCTAGCAAATTGCATGGGATGGTTCAATACCCTTAATGATATTTTGAATATTTAGTTTAATTGTGTTTAGTCCTAGTTTTAGTTTACTTTTTAATTTTGCCCTAGCCATTTCAGCCCAGCAATTCTGTAGCACATTTGTCAGTCCAAACCAGCTAAATGTCATTTCCTGTATGTTTCACATTTCAGGCGTATGTTTAAAATATATTACAAGTAATCCATTTGATTCATTCAGTTAGCAAATCTGTGAATCAAAAATGTATAAAAGACAATGGGTTAGATTAAAAATGAGTTAGATGACGGGAACTCACCTTATCCTTATGATTTAAGAAGTCCTTGATTTTAAGACAACACAACACTGTGATTCAAAATACATAAGCTATAATGTAAAATGGCTGCAGTTCTAAGAAGAACTAAAACCAAACTAAACTAAACTAAACCTCTAAATTATCTCCCAAAGCTGCCACAGTCACCTTATACAGCAGGATTTGCTACAAACTTTAAGAAACCTAATAGAAGGAAAGTTTTATAAAGCAGTGATTTGGCAAATTGATCATTCCATGAAGTGTTCAGTAGGGAAATTGGATTTTGGTGAATTGACTTTCTGAGAAGTAATTTTTGGAGAAATACAATTCGAGGTAATTATCCTTCAGAAAACTGTTTTTTGGTGAAGTGACCTGCTTCTAATCACCAAATGGTGAGGCATTAAAACCTGTCTGCTGATTCTAAAATTCACATTCTAGCCTCCATATTTTTTTTCCAATTAACCACATCACCATTGATGTAATCAGGAAAGATTTATGAAGACCCCCAAAAATGTGGACTGAAAATTTTAGACTACTGAAGCTACCTTTAAATGTATCCAAATAAGGGACTTGAATAAAATCTCATAGTTGAGTTCAATGAAAAACCCATACTATATGTCCCAGCAGAGGAGTAAGATACAGTGATTCTGACTTGCCTAGTGAGAAAGCACTTTCCTTGATACCAAGAACCTTAATTCGAACAAAACTTAAACATTTATATTCATATCATGTGGATCTGTCTGGCCACAGTTAATTTGAGCCTATCACTTTATTCCCTGTACAGAATATCTAAAGCTTTAAGGCAGATTCAGGGAGCCTTTTCTTCCTGAAACACAAACACTTACACTACGCTCTCATTAACTGGAACTTTCACATCTGCACTGAAGTGAAAATAGAACCTAAAGCTCTGTCCTACCTACTGTATGTCAAATAACACAGATTAGAAAGGGTGTATTTGACAATGGCATTTTATTCAGGCTTCAGAGGGAAAGAGTTGGACAAGTCATAAACTTGCATAACCATTAAATAAAAATAACTGCAGGGATGTTTAAGAGATATACTAAAATAAAAAATTTTAAATACTTGATAAAGGCAAAATTTTACCTGTTATTCATTTTACTTTATCCCAACTTGACACAATTATTAAAAAACTTTACCTCTACAACTTAAAAGCTAAAACCACTTCCAAGGCTTCTGGAGCCCCATATGGAGTCAGTTACCAGGGTAGAAGATGGGAGTGAGTTTCCAGGGTAAGAAGAGAAAGGTCATTATTCGGTGGCATCTTCAGGTTTAAATAATCTAGGCCAACTCTTTTCACAGAAATATAATGTGAGCCACATACATAATTTTAATTTTCACATTAAAAAAGTGAAAAGAAACAGGTAAAATAGATTTTAATATATTTTTACCCCAATGTATCCAAAATATTACCAATTCAGTATGTCATTGATATAAAAAATTGAGATATCTTACATTATTTTGGTAAGTCTTCCAAATCTGGTATGCATTTTACACTTACAGCACCATTCAATTTAGACTAACCACATTTCAAAAGCTCAACAGCTACATGTGGCTAGTAGTTACCCTACTCGACAATGCTTCTTTAAACTCACAGTCTCATTTGAAAAGGAAAGGTACTTTGAAGGTAATGGAATTATATGATTCTGTCTGGATTGAAGTGGACTGCTCTTTGCTTATTGTTGATTGTGAATGCTAGGCAGTTCTGAGGATTTAGACCAGGAAAGCACAATGACAAGATCTCCAAATCCTGTCATTGTAGGCCGGGCGCGGTGGCTCTTGCCTGTAATCCCAGCACTTTGGGAGGCTGAGGCGGGCAGATCACCTGAGATTAGGAGTTCAAGACCAGCCTGACCAACATGGAGAAACCCCATCTCTACTAAAAAAAATACAAAATTAGCCGGGCTTGGTGTCACATGCCTGTAATCCCAGCTACTCGGGAGGCTGAGGCAGGAGAATTGCTTGAATCCAGGAGGCGGAGGTTGCGGTGAGCCAAGATCATGCCACTGCACTCCAGCCTGGGTGACAGAGTAAGACCCCATCTCAAAAAAAAAAAAAAAAAAAAAAAAATCTGGACTGTAAGGCATTTCTCAGTTCACATGCAATTAATATTGATATTTCCGAGTTGTAAAATTTTGGGCTGTTCCTTGGTTTTCTAAATATTTTCCTTTACATCTAAATCCAGGTGGATAAGAAACACAGGAACCCTCTTCTCTTCCCTACACCCCACCTCTAGTCATCCTTCTACTGGATTCTCAAGAGTAGCCACTCTTAAGTGTAGTTTTCCTTCTATTTTGATGCACAAGGTATCTCTGAGTCTTTGCCTAGGCTGCTGTCTCTTCTTAAACCACCCTTTGAGCAGTGCTACCTGCATCCCTCATCTCCATCATCTGGCTGGCTCCTAATAGCTATCTGAAGTCAGCTTTGCCCTTCAAACCCCAAGACCACCCGAAGACCCAAACCCAGTGTTCTTTCTTCACATTCCCATGGCAAACATTGTGGGCTCTTATGCCACACTGTTTCCATTGTGGGCTCTTATGCCACACTGTTTCCATTGTGTTTCTAACTCCATGTATTATATCTGTTTACGATCCCTCTTCTCCAACTAGATAGTGACCTCCTAGAAAATATCTCATTTACCTTCGTAGTTACAATGCCTAGTACAAAATAAGTATACTTAAAGTACACAATAAAGGCTCATAAAGATGAAACATGGAACAGTATATGGAAAGTATAATAAAGTTCATCTATTCAAAGAATAAATGTTTTAAAGTACATGTCTAACATCTTTTGTAGCAAAAATGCATTTAAAATGCACATGTCCCAGACATTGTGCTAGATGTTGAGGATACAGAGATAAATGAGATTCTAACCTATAAGAGACAACAGTTAAGCAATGGTAAAGATGAACACTTCTCAAAAGTATGTGAATTCGAGTCTCCTGGGGAATTCATTGAAAACAGATTCTGATTCAGGGGATCAGCGGTAGGGCTTAAAGTTCTGCATTTCTAATAAGTTCCCAAGTGACACTGCTGGTCCCATGACCATACTTTAAGTAGGGAAGGACTATGGCCCGTAAGTTAGGAGACCTGAAGTTTAGCCGTGACTCCTGTTGTATGAGTCACTTCTCTTAATACTGCCAGATCTGCTTGCTCAGCTCATAAATTGTTTCAGATCAGAGAGGAGAGTAGATGATTTCTATATTATCTATAAGCTCTATAATCCATGATATCCATATTCTATCAGGCTTCGGGGGACAGTAGGGATCAGACCTGTGGTTTTTAGTTTTGGCTGCTCTTTAGAATCACCTAGGGCTAATTTCAAAATTCAGATGCCCAGAACACAGACCAGACCTTAGAATGTCTGCAGGTGGGGCTCAGGCATGAGTATTTTTAAACTCCCAGGGTTGAGTAATCCAAGCAGTATGTGTTGATTGTTAACTCAATTGATTGGTATTAATGAGGTCGGAGATAACAAAGGATGCTCCCCTTGGCAGGTAACTTTGTCCTATTCTGCTGGCAGTACTACAATGCCTGTTGGTCCAAAGAGCCTGATTAAAGGCACTGTGAAGTTCTATTTCCAACACTGAAAAAGCACCCCAAAGCACAGACTCTGAGGTGTAAAATTATGCACAAAAGAAAAGCTATGCTGATACCATAACAAATAATTAGCCATGCTTCCCAACCTTTTGCAGGCCTCACACTTGACAAAGGAGATCAAAATGAAAATGGAGCATTTATTTTTTCCCCCAATGAAAAATGGAAACACCAGCATCCAAGAAGCCACTGGATATATATGCTTTGCAAGTAAAGTCGTATCCTAGATTCTTTTTAAATTAGTTTTGGAAATTTGAAAATTTTAAATAAAAAAGTACAAACACTTTTTAAGGGTGTTTCAGCAGTTTTCAAAATGGAACAGGACTTTGTCATCCTCACCACATCTCTTAGGTCTAGGTTAAGAATAGAGGAGAAACATCCAAACTTGTTCATACTTTTAAGATATCTTAGTTTTAAATGTGTTGGTTTCTTTAACTTTAAAAAAATTGCTTTGCTGAAGTAAGAAAAAAGAGAATTAGATTTTTTATCATTTAACTCAAGTAATGAATTGCTTTGTAGCGCAACAGTAGCACATCACTGAAATACTGATTATTTTTTCTTTATTAGTTTTCACTTTGAAATATACTGTGCACACTTTTCCAAAACAGATTACTTGTGTCTGACAAATGTATCAACAAATAGCTAAAGAGTACATACTACAATCAAAATATTCTAGGATTTGAGAGGTAAGAGAGTATGATATTCTGTTATCTTCAAAGACCTTAGAACCTGTCTGAAGTGATTAAACTTACATTCTATGAAAAAATAGCTAAAATTATGAACACAAAATAATAAAAGCTAAAATAGTAGTTTTAAAGCTTTCAGAGAAGAGAGATACCTCACTTCCAGCTGGGATGGGCTAATGGAAGGCTAAATAAAGAAGGGAAAGGTTTTATCCGAACCTTCAAGGATGGCAGGTATTAGATCATTAGCCTAGAAAAAGAAACTCTATGATCAAGAGCAAGAGGAAAGGAAATCATAAGATGGGCTCAAAAATAGTGATAAGACAAGTAATGAGTAATGAGACAAGAATGTCTCACCTGGGCCAGGTGAAAAGTTCCATATCAGCCAGGCTTAGATCTGAAGACTTAAGGACTATGAACAAAACAAAAGCATAGTTAGGCAAATTGGATTAATACTTCCGGTCTCCAGGGACAGGGTAAAGTTGATATATATAGGACAGTATAAGCATAAGAATTGACAAAGATAAGGTATCATGTGGCTAGAATGGAATTACCTGAGGGCTCGCTAGGCTGAAGACTTCTCTTTTCACATTTTCCTACAGCTAATGAGAAATCAGTGGAGACTTTTCTTTGCTTGCTTGTCTAAGTAATACTCGAAAAGCCATATTTTTCAGGAAGACAAATTTTGAGCCATATATAGCACAAATTAGAGTGGAATAGAACAGATTAGTAGACTGATGCAGAAAGGCTGATCTCAATTGTAGTACTAGAAAGAGGGAAGTGCAAAGAAATTAATGTAGGAATAACAAAACATAAGACTTAGTGAATAACTAAATCTGGGGGGTGGGGTAGCAGAGCCATGGGTGCCCCACACATAAACTCCAAGCACTCATTTCTTCACACTGAAAGCTGCTTGCTGTGAACACCTATAATCTTTGCTTGAGGTATTCAGCCTGGCTGGGGGAATATGCTTGGCCCACATGTACGACAAGCCAGCAATGCCAGAGAGATAATACCCTTAGAAGCAGCTCAAACCAATAAAGATAGAGATTTGGAGGACAAATGCCACAAACTCCTCACTCCTCCATTAGAATAACTCTTAGTCTTACACTAACTCTCAGAATATCCCAGTGGTAACTTGCTTGTTAATACACCTTATCTTGTATTTCTTTAATTTCCTGTCTCTTCTCTCTACTCCCTTATCAGCATTTTTTGGTGTTACTCCCAAAGAAACTTGTATTTTTAAACTTCAAAGGCACTGGGATCCTTGCCTTGGCCACTGCTTCTAGAGTGGCCTAACATAGGCCACAGTTAAGAAGAAAGCAGAATTAAATTCTAACATGGTTAAGAAGAAAGCAGAATTAAAGATTAGGCAGAATAATAGGGCAACAAAAGTGTTCACATCCTAATCCTTGGAACCTGTGAATATGAAACTTTCTATGGCAAAATGGATTCCGCAAATGTGATTAAGGTTAAAGACTATGAGAGAGGGAGACTATCTTGGACTATCCGGGTGTGCCTAATCAAATCACGTGGTTGCTTAAAAGCAGGAAACCTTTCTCAACTGTAGTTAGAGGGAAACGTGACTATGGAAGAATGGTCAGAAACATCCAACATTGCTGACTTTGAAGATGGAGGAAGGGGGCTCTGAGCCAAGGAATGTGGGTGGCCTCTAGAAGCTGGAAAAGATAAGAAAATGGATTTTCCTCAGGAGCCTTCAGAAAAAACTAAGACCCTGGTGACACCGTGATTTTAGTCAAGAAGTGTATCAGAGCTCTGACCTACAGAATTGTCAGATAATAAATTTGTGTTGTCTTAAGCCACGAAGTTTGTTGTAATTTTTTTATAACAGCAATAGAAAATACACATAAAAAGTGAAATTAAGATTGATTTTTCAGATGTTGATCTGAATGTTTAATATGTTGAGTTCTGTCTGTGTTCTTGATTGAGTGATATTCTTAGAGATTCATAGAGCCTCTTATATATATGGAATATCATTCTTCCATTCTTGAATTACGAGATGGTAAAGATGTTTGATATTTGTTGTTTTGTTTTAGCCAGAAAGTTACTGTCATTTAATCAATCCTGTTAAATCTTACGTGATGTCCTCAGAAAGATATAATTAAAGAAATGTGTTGTTACAGTGGAAACTATGGCAACTAATAATAGAATGCCATTGTCAAACTCACTGTCTCTTTCCAGTGCTCAGTTTCACCTGGACTATATTTAGAGTCTTTCATTTGGAAAGGATGGTTATGTGTCAAATGTGTTGTATGAGTATATTCTCGAATTTTAAAATTTCATTGAGTTGTGACACACACAAGGGCTTGATATAGGAATTCTGACATAATTAAGAGCAAGTTAAAGTTAACTTTCAGTGCATTGTTGAATATATATAATCTCAGACCCATGATTTTATCTGAGCATATGGTTGTTGTTTTCAGATACTGTACTTATGGAATATTATATCATAATTATATTATATTATAATAAATATAAAATAATATAATTTAATTTTAGTTAATTCTGCAGTCTCATTGGGTTACTCCATTTTATCAGTCCCCATCATTTTCTACCCTGTTTATCCAATCTTTGCAGCCATACTCAGTCTTCACCTCTTTCCATAAACATGCACAGCAGAGACATAATAGAACAATAAACACTCTAACCCATTGGTAGAAATGGATTTGGCAAGAGGGGTTGGGTCTGCTGCCCCTAAACAAAGGGTTCTGGAGTGAGAGCAAAGCCCAAATACCCACACCTCACCTAATCTCCACATGAAGTCTACCTAGCTCTCTGACACATCTACCTGGTTCCTAGCTTGTATTCTGGTAGCAATAAAGCCCAGGTGCAAGCAAGACTGGGACTTTGGCCTCTCAGTGAACTTCAGCCAGCCTCTTCCTCCAACAAGATTCTGCTTCCACTAGCTCTGGTACTAACTGGCACAGAGCTCTCTGATTTATGTATCTGAAAACCCAGCGATGACAAGAGCTGCTGCTCCTTTGACATACTGTCTACTCTGTTTTCCTTGATGCAGATTCTACTGATTTGAGTTGGCCTACCTCTATGGCCATGGTTGTTGATATTGCTGTTTAGCCTGAGATGGGCAGGGGTGAAGATCTGGGTTGAAGGGGAATGTTTTGCTGCCCCACTTTGTTTTTCACAGCCTGTGACTCATAGCCCTTGCTGGTCTCCCATTCCTGCTCCAAGCACACAGCATACCACAAAGCCACCTTAATTAAGCCAAATTCTTATTAAAAAAAAAAAAAGATCTACAGATTGCATTCAAATAAAAGCCAAATGTTTTGCTTTTACGTCTCCCTCTTTTACATATACCTATACGTAAACTCTTGCCAGACAAATTTTAAATAATTCACTTTATATTTACACATTATAAGTTTAAAACCTACAATGTTTTTATGTATTACAGCTTCAGTTCAGTCCCTGAAAGGGCAGGACAGACAATAAACATTGCTATCTCGCTGGTGGGCTGTGTGTTTCAGAAAGGGGTCTGCTGACAGCACATCCTCTAACTCTAAAGATAACGACACCAGATGCACCACCACCCTTAAAAGGAAAAAAACTTCCCCTAAATACCAAGATAATTTGTAGAAAGGCTACATGGTTACAAAAGCAGTTTGGCAGGGCTTAAGGAAATGAAATAAGGGAGGAAGCAAGTGCAAAGGACATTGAATTTCAAGTAATAATGGGCTCAAACACTTTAAAACCAAAAATAATCTGTGTACCCTAGAGCTTGGAGACTTGTACTCAGCAGATCACAATTCTGCAGCCATGTGTCCCTGAACGACTAAAGAAGATGATTCAAGGGGATTACCTGTTGGTACAGGCTTTTAATGCCAACAATGTGGCTAATTTTGAAGGCAGGTGCCTTCCTCGGCTTTTATTTGCTGTAAAGTTTTTAATGTACTTAACACTTTTAAAATTTAGTTTCTACTAAGATACTATTTTCTCTGAGACTGGCCTTGTGAACAGAGGATTTGCCAACTACAGTACCTTTCAAGAATGTCATCCTGAGATATTCAAATTTAATATTATCTATCATAGCTTTCTCACCATCTTCTTCTTCTTTACCCTCCCACAATCTTGCCCTCCGATCTACACCCTCAGTCAATGCCCATGGTAAGGTTATCAATGACCTCCTCTTTGACAAATTCAGTGGCCTCTCATGATTTGGGGGACCATTCCTTTGTTATTGATACTATCAGGCTTCCTCAACACCCTTCTTCATCTTGATTTCAGAGGCAGAAAAATATCCCAATTCTCCTTATATTTTTCTGTAGACTAATGGGTTTCATTACATTTTGTTTTTGCTTGAGTTTCAATAAATGTTTGCCAAGTAATAGATCCAAAAACCCCTACCAGAAATTGTTACTTTGGGGCCTAGCTGACACAAGAACAGATTGAGTTTGGAATGAAGTTCCATGTGGAACGACCTATGCAACTCTTATCTATTACATGGTTGGGAGTATAAATCTTGCGAGCTTAAGCAGTTTTCCCAGCATTATTGACATACTGATTACCAAATGGTGAGACTACAGAGTACTTACTGATGATACCCAGACTACCAGGACTGCAACTACCTTGAAACTTCAGGAAAACCAGGAAAGAAGAAATGCTTCATGGATGTAATAATGCAGTCTAGAGATTGATTTCTAGCTTAAACTGATCACAGATATCTGCCTCACTGGAGCCTACAATTTACACTTAACTAGTAGACAAGGTCTAGACTTAGGCATTGACTATTTCTACACAGCAATTTCCAGAAACCAGCATTGGAGGTTTAAATATCATACATTAAATTTGTCTGTCATTCAAATGCACACACAAGAGTAAGAAAGGATGCTAGCTACCAATGAGAAAGATGTAGATTCAAATTTCTTAATATGTATATATATAATAAGTATTTTTACATTTGGAGATGGTGTTTCTAACGATATATGTGTGTATATTGCAAAATTCTTCCATCCCATATTTTGCATCCCAAATTCATATATATAGTATTAAATTTTCTTTTCTCTATAGAAGGACTTATTTAACCTCCTCAGTTTAAAGAAAAACAGTAAGGCCATAATGAATATTGATTAACCTTGGGAACCAAAAAGTAAACATAAAAACAATTTCTTACTCTAAGATCAGGCTTAACAATGTGCTAATAGCCCATAATGAAGATGGCAGCCATGAGTTAATCAACACATTAAGTTGGGATCAGAAGTGTCAACTCAAGTGCAGTCTACTAATTTACTGACCCTTAATGGGTCAGCAAGATCTATAACCCATAGGCTGATCTTTCTACTTCTGTTAAAGTCATTGTGGAAGGCAATTCACTTTCTTCCATGATTATGATCTCTGAACTGATATGGACAAGGAGTCAACATAAAATCCATTTATGAGAATGTGCTTGGGGTTACTGAGTAATGCGATCTCAAGCTAACTGGTGAGTTAAGTGTCTGGGTAGAAGCTCTTTATGAAACCACCAGCTTTGTGTTTCTCATGTCCACAAAACTGAAAATACACATGTGCAATCTTCACTGAAAGCTTCTAACTCCACTAAGTCCTGAGTTCTTGAGTTAGCTAAGACTCGCTACCCACTCTCATTTCTATTCTGCTCTCTGAAGATAAACCTTACTTTTTAAAATGTCAATGGGTCAAAAAGAACTGAGTAGTGGGATGGTAAGGTGATGGGCTATACCTGCCAAATAGTAATTGTGAAATAAGTTTTGCTTTACTAAACATGTAGTGAGCTGGATAGAAAGTTGCTTTGGTGATTAAGCAAAAAATAGACATAATTTGGTGTAATCTAACAAATGAGAACCAACCACCTAGTGTTTGCCACCTTCAAGGGGAAGAAGAGAAATAGTACGTGCATATCTTATTCCAGATGGGCCTTCCACAGGGTATAATAAAAATTATGAATCAAGAATTCGCTTGAATCCTTTTTTGTATAGAAGATATGATTGCTATGATAATGCAAAAAAGATTGTTTTTAATGCCAGCATTTTCTTTCTCAGGTAATACAGCAATTCACTGTACGATTTACAATGGTGCATTAGCAACCCAGCAGCAGTGTGATGTCAGAGCCTCAAAAAGACGTATGCAAGAGAAGCAACTGGGCCTGGTTCTGCTGCCCTGGCCCCCAGTCAAGGCTGCTTAAATGTCACCAACTCCAGTCCTGCTCTGTTCCACAGCTAGTCCTGGCTGTGATTTTCTCCCAAATAGGACACAGATATTAACTAAGGTTCTGGAAAGAGGAAGCAAAAGAAAGAGAAAAAGCAAACTACTGAATGCACTAAACATTTTTTTAAAGTTTTATTGAAAGGAAAATAGAGGTTAACTTGAAGGACCTAAGAATTTGTTTTTCTCTGTACAAAGCAAATATGTCAGTTGCATGCCGATGATGCTGGAAGCATTCCGCAAAGGAAACCATCTTTTCTGGGAATACAGAAAGCCCCCTCTGTTGTTGGTGACATTGCCCTCCCTTTTTCCCCCTATTTGTTGCCTTTGTTTTCCTCCCCTGTCATTACCTAACCTCCTAGTACTGCTGTGCCAACCGCAGCACAAAGACACTCGTCTAAAAAGCCTCTGTAGGAGAAAGAGTTCCACCCTACGGAAAAAAAGTGAACCCTCGGGCCACAAAGATGAGGAAAGAGTCAATCTTTGGAAAAGCTCTCACAGACGTGGGTGGCTTTGGCAAGGTCAGCCTTTGGAAGGCGACCTCTTGAGCAGGTTCTCAACCCTAAGGCCGGTCTGAGAAAAGCAATGAGGGGAGTAGAAAAGAACGGGGAGAAGAGAGGGAGAAAAGGGTCGGGGAATGGAGGGTAGGATAAAGAGAGGGTACAGGTAGGGGACAGCGAAGGCGGCGGCCCCTCCTGGGATTACATCTTTCGGTAACCACCCCCGCCCTCCGCACTGGCACTTCGCGCGGGGTCACTGCCCGGCCCCACCTCCCGGGCTGAGTGGCGCGCTCCGCCTGGGTCCCGGAGGCGGTGGCGCAAGGCGAGCGCGCACCGGGGCCGTCCGCTGGGCTGGCCCAGGCGGGGAGGTCCTGACCCCAAGAGGCAACAAACGAGTGGAGGGGCACTGCTCTCCACACTGCTCTGCCGCCCCCACCCCAACTCTCCCCACCCCTTCCCCCTGGCTGCAGCAGCAGCAGCAGCAGCAGCAGCAGCAAACGAACAGAGCCACAGCGTCACCGAAATCCAAGCGGAGCCCAGCTGCGCCGGGGGCAAGAGGAGGGGGCTGGGGCGATCCGGTGGGGGAGGGGGCAGGGGATGGTGGGGGTGCTCCGGGGCCGCCGGGGGCGGGGAGGCAGCGGGGGTGGCGCGCGCGGCGGCCGCCCCGGGCCCGCGGCCGGCGTCACTTACCCGGCCAGGGCGCGGGAGCAGCTCGGCCGACTCCTCGGAGCCCGCGGCGGCTCGGGGCCGGCGGTCGGCGCAGCCCGGGCGCTGCCAAATGTAAACAATCCGCCATGATTTCTTTGTTTAGCTAATTGAACCTGCCGCCGTCTCGAGTCCCAGGCGCTCCCTCTCCCTTCTCTCCCCTTCCCCCCTCGCGCTCTCTTTTATTTATTTATTTGTCTCTCCCCCCACCCCGCCCTTAGTCTTTCCCTCTCTTTAGTCTTAGTAGCTGCTTTTAATGGAAGTCGAGGCAGTTGGGTAGTTGGTGCAGGGAGTGCGGTGGTGGTTTTTATAAATACAGGTAAAATAATACCCAAATTTCAGGCTGAGGTGCAGTTTCTGGAAGAGGAGGAGGGTGTTCCTCTCCTTCCCTCCCTCTTTCCCCCTCCCCCGTTTATTAGAGTATCCTCGGTGGAAAGTGCCAGAAAAATGTGCTGCATCTCTGAGTCACCTTTTCTTCCCGCCGAACTCTAGCACCCAAGTTCGCTGGCGGATTTTGGACTCTGCCAAAGTGCTGAGTTCGTCGTTTACTTTGAAAGCCTGAAATATAACTGATGTCCAACTGCAGGAAGGCGCACGGAATCGCCGCCACCATCCCGGGGGCGAATCACCGCCCTGCAGCCGGCTCCTCAGGGGAGTGACCTCTTGGTGTCAACTAAACTCCTTTAGGGAAATACCCGGTTTTTCCACGCGCGCGTGCGCGCATACGCGCACACACACGATCCAAACTAGCACCAACACAGTGGAAAGCTCCCAGAGGAGCCCAACTGTTCAGCCTCACATTTGCATAAATTATTGGTCCCAATAAAATTGTTGCAGAAATATTGGGGAAGGAGTAGACGCTGAGCCTCGAGTTTCAAACTTTCAGGAAATATTTAGGTCCTGGTGGAAAGAAGGGCTCAGCATTCCTTCATCTGGGTTTCTGTGGGTAGAAATGCATTTGATCACCAGTTTTGACTATGGTTAATGCAGGCATCATTTAAATCCTGTTCTAGGTGAATTTATGAAGAGTTTCAGGGTAATCCGTGGCAGAAAATTTTAGGGTTATGGCTTCATTTATTTAAAAAACTACTCCCCCAGTCTCACTTTTATTTATAACCACCATGTTGATGACACCAAAAATGATTCAATATTTTAATTAATAAGGAGGTTTGAAAGTCATCTACATCTTGCAGTAAAACTGCCTTTTAAGTTATCATCGGGATTAATCTCATTAAAAGAAGTTATTTCCTTAGCTATGCTTATTTCTCTGTGGGGAGAGCACTGTTGAATGGAGTAATGTCACCCTTAGAAGTTTGGACGAACCATTTATGCGTCACATAATGTATTGATCGTATGGGTAAAAGGGTCATCTGATCCAATCAAGAGAACTGAACTAATGAGTATTTACACTAAGCCCAGTCACTGTGGTCGTCTTACCCACTGGGTCAATTAATAAATAGATGTACAAACATTCTGATTAAATATAAAAGAAAGGAATTGTATTGCCAAGCAATCAAAATGACCCCAATCAAATCACCTATTTACACTTAGGTCTAGTCCATTCCCTCATGCAAGTTTAACAGAGGTTATTATCATATTATTTTCCACACTTTTGATTTTTTTTTTTTTTTTTTTTTGGAAACAGATTTTCGCTCTTGTTGCCCAGGCTGGAGTGCAATGGCGTGATCTCGGCTCACCGCAACCTCCGCCTCCCAGGTTCAAGCGATTCTCCTGCCTCAGCCTCCCAAGTAGCTGGGATTACAGGCATTTGCCACTACGCCGGCTAATTTTGTATTTTTAGTAGAGACGGGGTTTCTCCATGTTGGTCAGACTCGTCTCAAACTCCCCACCTCAGGTGATCCGCCCACCTTGGCCTTCCAAAGTGTTGGGATTACAGGCGGGAGCCACCACGCCCAGCCTCTTTTTTTATATCATGCCAAGTTTTACATGTTTCCCCAAATTCTAGCTTATATCTCACCTTGCAAAACCCACCTTGATATGTACCTTCTCCCAGTGATTGGACCTTATTACTTCTCTTGGCATCAGATATGAAACTAATGAGCTTCACAAATGATGATCAAGGCCCTTGAATAGGGGGGACTGATACGCCAATACGTGGAAGGATTTTTTTTTTTGCACAAAATTTAGGTTTAAGAACCTATAATTTCACTTTTAAAAATTAATTTCTTTAAATACCTGCCCTGTTTGTTTAGAATTATTGTCCATATTCACATTTTTTCTTTTTCTTTGTTCAGCTTTTAAGTCCAGGAGTACATGTGCAGGATAACGTTAACTTTTTCTAATACATTGAATGTTGCATGTTTACACCATTCCCCTGTCCATTGTCAGGTTTATTTCATGTGTCACTTGCCATGAACTGAAATTTGTTTGGAAATTAGAGGGTGAGGGGCAAGTAGAACTTCTCTGGAGCCTATTCCAGATTCTTATATGTCTCTTTAACAGGCAAGATCACATTATATTAATAGATTTGCACATGTGTAATCACATACATACAAAATGTAATCACATTCCGACACTCCTTGAAAATACATTAAAAAATGGAAATTCATACATAGCTACATTTCATTTGTAGGCTGACACATTGATGGCTCCCAATCAATCACACTGTTTTGCATGAATACTGTCTTTTAGTCCCCTTCCACATGGACCATGGGTTTGCCATGTAAATTGCTGTGGCTACCAGAAGTTCCATAAGCACTTGCACACTGGGGTTAGTCCTTTTGGAATGCTCCCTTTTGGAATCTAGCTGCTGTGCTTTAAAGAACCCTGCTAGAGAGACAGAGACCATCTAGAGGAAAAGAATCAATGTACCCTAGCCCAGCCACCAGCTGAGTGCAGATGCATGAGTGATCCCAGCCAACACTACATGGAACAGAATAGTGAATTCATGGGAACATGACAATAAATCATTGTTTCAAACACTAAATTGGGGATGGTCTGTTATACAACAGTAGATCACTGATACAGCTTTCTCCTGTTAAAAGATTAGCGACATAGTCAGATGACTGCTGGAGGTAAGAATTTAGCAAAAAGACATAAGGATGGAGAAAGAGAAATTCTAGAAAACTGCCTAATAGAGCTTCCCAGAACTAGAACTTCCCTTTGTCACTTCTTAGAGCTCAATGTCACCATTACTTCAATGATGTAATAGCCATTCTGGGGACTGTCTTTATGTCATCACTTTAGAATGAACAATCTTTGAGTCTCTAAAGCAAGGAGGTGAACAGACACAGGCTCTGGAGTTCAGTTCTCCTGCCTTCAAGTCCCAGCTCTGTCCCCAAGTAACAATGCAGAATGAATGAACAGGAGTTCTTTCCCAATTATTGGGACTTCTAGAAATTAGGCATATTTTAAAATACACATTTTCTTCAGGAAATTGTTCAAGTGAGACCACGAATGAGAATGAATGACTAACACATGGAAATTTTGCGTTCAGACACAAACTCAATATATAAAAGTGGTTACCTGGTTACCTAGAAGTCATCTCCCTGTGCTCAAAAGCCCTTGGATTTGAATTAGGCACCAAAGGACCTGGGTCCTCTAACATTTAATTTGGCTCTGTATTTGCAGCCGATACACACACATACACACACACACACACACACATCAATTATCTCCATTACAAGTGGGAGTGAGACAAGAGAGTCCAATGTCTCAACTAGTAAAGGACACAGTTTGCTAAACTTCAGAACTCCAATAATGTTTTGTTTTTAAAAGAATTCTCTCAGACCCCCGTATGCTCAAAAGTTTTATACAACCGTGAAACAGTATTCACACATTTACAAGTTAAAGTTAATCAAATATATAAAGCCAAGAGCTAAATTACCCACATTAATTTAATGTGATATTATTATTATTTGGGGGGGTGGATGGAGTCTCGCTCTGTCACTAAGTGTCTGGAGTGCAGTCGCATGATCTCGGCTCACTGCAACCTCTGCCTCCCAGGTTCAAGTGATTCTCCTGCCTCAGCCTCCTGAGTAGTTGGGATTACAGGCACATGCCACTACGCCCGGCTAATTTTTGTATTTTTAGTAGAGACAGGGTTTCGCCATGTTTGCCTGGCTGGTTTTGAACTCCTGACCTTAGGTGATCCACCCGCCTCAGCCTCCCAAAGTGCTGGGATTACAGGCATGAACCACCGTGCCTGTCTAATGTGATATTATTTTGCCAATACTTAGCTGCCTCTAGCCTCATGAAGATGGTGCTGGCCATTACTAACAATCCTATACTTCTGTGCTGTTGTACAATGAGCTGATCACTTTCTCTATTCAAAGTTATGTGAAAGCTTCCTTAGCACAGTGCTCCCCTACCTCATTTGGCCGCCACTTGGGATGCATTAAGTTTTTATCTGTTTCAGTCCAAGATAATTAAAGTTGATAATTAATAAAGATAATTAAAGTTGGCACAACTCTAGACACAAATATCGGCATTAAAATGGTCAAGAATATTTTTATTTTTCAGATTAGCATTGAGTTAAAATTCCATTTTGAGCAAGATTACTATTAGATAATAGCACTGGGGTGGCAGTCAGGTGACCTGGGTTCAAATTGTGTATTTGACACCAATCACAATGTAACATCACTAGAACTATTAGATATTTTGATTTGGGAAGAGGAACGCTCTGAGAGCCACAAAAGGATTTTTGTTAAAAATCAAAAAATAAGGGCTTTTTAATAGTGAAATCTCAGCAATGTGGCAGATATGAGGGGACTTTTTCTGGCAGTATGGCTTTTCAGTATTTCTTCTGCAATGTTTAACTTCTAACTCTTCCTAGGATTAAAGCTTATATTTATTTCTCACTCTTTGATTTAATTTTTCCTCCCTCAATTTTAATTCTATAAAACTATTTTTTCTAAAAATTCTGGCATATAGTGGGATTATTTTCATAGTTTCTTTATACTTTTTACTTCCAAAATATGTCCATTAGTGATGAATAAAACAGCTCTATTATTATGCTTCCCAATTTCTCATTAGGTTTCCAGGAAATAAAATTTCTTTCTCCCACTCTCAGAAAAAGTTTTGGCTTAAGAAGATTATTTTTCAAATCCCAGGAGAATAACAATTGGAAAATCCACACATTCTATAGTTTTTGGAATGAATATAAGGTTTTAATAGGCAGAGTTATGAAATGATCAAATTCTCCTAACTCAGTTTCATTATCCTTTGTTTTTTGGAAAACTGTACCCACAGCATCGATGACAAACCCAACGAGAAGAATTGCAGGGTCTTGACAATGCTTCTCCCTGCATTTGGCGCAGGTAATCAGGAAACATGAATTTCCTATTTCCAGCCAGGCACTTCTTGGAATAGGTGCAGGATCATCTACAGGCGCAGCTGCTGCTGTACTTGAGGGGTCCCAGAACCCAGACACATCTCTTTGAGCAGCCAAATGAGTATCTTCCCAACCACTACCACCTCATTCACTTTTTTTTCAGCCTGAAATATTAAAGTAAGTCCAAAATGTCTTTAAAATTTTAAACTTAATTATACCCCTTGGAATCTATGCTTTGGAAAACTGGTATTTTTTTCCTTTAAATAAACCAATATCTGGAATATGTACATACATACATGCATATGTATATATTGAAATATGCTTAGAAAACCACTTTACTATAGCTTGCAGCCTAGTATGAAAAAGAAAAATCCACTGTTCACTCTTTCATATGCTTTTAAAAAGCTTTTCAGAATATACCTAGTGAGCTGTTGTCTGTTCAGTGACGCATACGCTTGTTTGTGAAGCAAATCTTATTTCTTCTCTTAACAGTAACCTATGGGTGCGTGGAGAGATGAAAATGATTTCTACCTTTTTATCCTTACATTGTGTGCTCTTTTAAAGGTGAATCTTGTAATGTTCTCTATTCTACACAGAAGTAATAAATACTATCTTTAGGAGATGGTGATTATAATAATGGTGTTCCCTTGCCAAAAAAGTAACAAAGGTATTTTAAATTGTAGTTTTATCCTGATAGGGAGATTTCAAATAATTTAGCTAATTTCAACTAATAACTACTGAGAATTAACATTGTTATTTAATGCAATCAGTAGTTGAATAGAACATAAATCCAAGAACTAAGCACTAGGGAAGATATATAACAGATAATACTGAGAGATTTGCAATTCTCAAAGATAGAAAAGGGAGAACCCAAAGGAAATTAAATGCTGGTTTTCTCAAATAAGATTAGATTTTCTTATTTCTTAAAATTACCCCACAAAGCATATATTTTACGACACATATATTTTTATAATCTTCTTAAATCTCCAATGTAGATGATATGTGTTTTCTATATCAAGACTTTTTATTTCTATTTCTAGTTACTCTTTCTTTTCCCAAACACCAAAGTAAACCATTACTTTATGTTGTTTTCATAGACTATTTGAAAATATAAATTTCAAATATTTATATGTTATAAATGCTTTATCAACTTGCTCACTCTAATAAAGGCACTTAGCATTGTAGTTGCATTTGAGAAATATATAAGCACAATAAAAATTCACTTAATATGCTCTAGCATTTCTTCAATAAACAGTGTGAAGTCAAATTCCTATGTAATTTAACAGTTGCTGGTAGCAGCACTCTGTGATACTAGTTGAAAATAGCTACTCTGAAACATGAAGCACAACACAGAGAAATTATTCTATAGGTTTGTTCATTTCCCAGGGTTCTGTCCAGATTGAACCAACTGGTGCAGAAGCATGAACTTGCAAAAGAGCAGTATGAGCAAGCTCAGGTGTTAAGCTATTTTAGCTGTTTCTCTCTCCCCACTCCTTCTGTTCTTCCCCTCAGGTCATTTGAAAACACAAATAAAGGTGACTAGCATTTAAAAATGCCAAATAAAGTGGAAAATTACATAAAACAGTAGTTTCCAAAGTAGAATGCAGAAAAAAATATTAAAACTTCTATCTACAGACACTTTTTATTATTTTCATCTAAAAATAAAAATAAATTGTGCATTTCACTGGGCATTGCAGCTATTCTGTCTATCTGATACCCTGGGTTCAGCCCTATTCTTTTATTGATCCCCAGAGTAGGAAAAGAGGAACCGGGGGCTGAACCACATTCAGGAGGAGCCACATATCCTCTATAGGCACCAACCATCCAAAAGGAAGGATTTCTGGTCTTCTAAGAATCTTTCACTCTGGGGACAGTGTTGCAAGGATGGAAGCTGGACCTTTGGGGCCATTTTTACCTTTTCATTTCTGACCACATGCTATTTGAGATTTCCTTCCTTCCTTCTTTCATTTTTCCTTCCTTCCTTCCATCCTTTCTTTTTCCTTCTTCCTTCTTCCTTCCATCTTTCTTTTTCTGGCCAATGTTAGAGTGCTTAATTTAGTTCAGCCATGCCTGGGAGAAAATAAAATCAACTGTAGAAGTCTTAGTAGTCATTGTGCCCACATAAGTGACATAAGTCATTCTGTGAAGCTGTTTTAATATGCTTCTATCATGAGTTCTCACACAACAGTGCCTATCACTAAGAGGAGATGCTGATGACTTATGAATTTTGTTGACATTATAATGATACTGACTAAATGTCTTTTTGTATTAGAGACTCTAAAGTTTTCAGATGAATGCTCCATCGGAGAAACAGTCTTTGAGAATGAATATCTTAAAATATATATTTAAATACATTTAAATAGAATTATTAAGATGCATAAAATATAACATATGTTTATATATAGTACATAGATATCTTGTATAATTTATAAATACTGTATAACTATAAATACATTAAATAGATTTAAATTATACATTACATTTAATACATAATATATTATTTATGGACATATCACTTTACTAATTATGCATTATGCAAAACATAAGGTTTTAAAATATAAGGTAAAGAGTAAATAAACTATCATTGCAATTTTTTATTCTGTTCGTCAATGAGAAACTCATACCTTTTTCTCTCACATATGGTGAATACACTCTGTCCCTAATATTCTGAATATGTCAGTCAGGGTCTAAGCATGAAAACAAAAGCCTATCTAAAATTTTTTGTGTGTATGTAAAATGAATTAGTACTAGGGGTTGCTTACACAGGAAATAGAAGCGGTGAGAAACTGGGCAGAGGATGGTGCAACAGCTCAGAGGTTAGCAACTGCAGGGCACCCAGCACATCTGGGTTAGAGGATCCAAGGGGCAAGACAGCGGACCAGGGCCCAGTCACCTGGTGGGAACTGACCAGGAGACACAGCTGTTGCCAGAGGCCCTGCCACAGACAAGAGTCTGGGAAAAATATTCTGACCACTGCTTGCCTTCTTGTCTACAGTGTCTGTCCAGGGCCTCCCAGTGGCAAACCTGGCTTCATGCATATGTTTGGACAACATTGCTGTAGCAGTAGCTCTCCTGTGATACAGTGTCAAACAGGGAAAGAGTGAGAATGGAAATGAGGCAGACAGGCCCAGTACCTGCCAGGGGAACTTTCCAGTTTTCCAGATACTTTCTGTTCTTTCATATTTATACATCTTGAAACATCTCCATCTATCTAGCAGGAATGCCCTTCTTTCTTCTCTTTGCCTATCAAACTCCTATACATCCATCATGAATGAAGCCATTTATTCCATGAACGTTCATGGAGTTTATTCATGAAAATAAGTCTATTTTCAAAACTTTTTTGATTATTCAATAGCCATTGAGCCAGCATTGTCTAATAATTCTTAGCAAAGATTCAGGATTGAGACTGCCTGGGTCAGATCCTGGCTCTCCACCTACTAGCTGTGTGAGCATGTCTCAGTTTCATCTGTAAACTGGGGATCATAACAATACCTACCTTATAGAATTGTCAGATGGATAAAATCAGTTAATGTTTATGAAGCACTTTGAACAGTTCCTGGCAGTAGTAGTTTCCTTGTATGTGTTTGTTAAACTAAATATATGAATTTCAAGTCACTTCTTTTTCTGTGCTTCTCCAGCCCTCCATCCTTACAGCTATCATAGAATTTATTACACTGAGCGGTAACTTACTTATTTATCATTACTGTTAAATTATGAACTTACCAGAAAGAGTCTGTGATTAATCAACTTTGTATTCTCAATACAAAGAGCATAATATATGCTCAATAAATATTAGTTTAATTAATTAATCACTTTGTCTAAACCTCCCCCGTGTCACGAATCAAAAATCAAATGAGGAGTGCAAAAGCAAAGATATTTTTAGGAGTTCAGAGAAAAGGGTCTGTTGGACTTGACATTTATGAGAAGGTGGCAGTAAGCTTTTAAAAATTAGCTAGGATTTAGACATGTAAAGCTAATCAGAGAAGCTGGGGGGCAATATGAGCAAAGGCCTGGGAGTGGGAAAATGTGGGGCATGTGCAGGAACAGTAAGTGAAAGGTGCTCCATTAGACATGGTTCAAAATGGTAGGTGGGAAGATCCACTTTATAATGCAGGCCAAGAGCTCTCAATCTCTATTTCACTGTGATACCATTAATGAACACAAATTATAGCTGCATCATTCACCTTTGCTTGCTCAAGACGAACTGCAGCCCCTTGCTTGCCATTCAAGAAAACACATCTATATCTATCTATCTATCTACCTATCTTTCTATCATCTATCTATTCATCCATCCATCCATTCACCCACCTACCCACTTACCCATCCATTCATCCATCTGTCCATCCATCCACCCACCCATCTATTCATTCATCTTCCCACCCAGTTATCTATCTATCTATCTATCTATCTATCTATCTATCTATAATCTATCTACCTATCAAAACGTTAACTGTTTTTAGTGTCAAATGTGTGTATTCTCCAAATTATTCCATGGTTAAGAATTGTTACTGCAGATAGGCCAGGCACGGTGGCTCACGCCTGTAATCCCAGCACTTTGGGAGGCCGAGGCGGGCGGATCACGAGGTCAGGAGATCGAGACCATCCTGGCTAACACGGTGAAACCCCGTCTCTACTAAAAATACAAAAAAATTAGTCGGGCGTAGTAGCAGGCGCCTGTAGACCCAGCTACTCAGGAGGCTGAGGCAGGAGAATGGCGTGAACCCGGGAGGCGGAGCTTGCAGTGAGCCGAGATCGCCCCACTGCTCTCCAGACTGGGCGACTGAGCGAGACTCCGTCTAAAAAAAAAAAAATTGTTACTGCGGATAATAAGAAACAGTTGGAAACACTTAGTTGGGTATGATTAGATTAACTTTCAGAAAGTTTATTGAAACAAAAATCTGTAAGTTACTTGTTAATAACAGAATCTGGAGTAGTTATCATACACCCAAATTCCTAAAAAAATGGAAGTATGAAGAAGAAAAATCAAGCTAGAGGATAAAATTAATGGCCAAAGTTCTTACTGCAATCATTCAGTAAATGCAAAAGAATTATTTTTTTCTTCATTCCAGCTACAGAATTCATTCTAAAATCTGAGAATTGAGACTCTTCTCTAAGCAGCTTTGTTTTTCTTCCTTTACATGCATGGTGTACTGCAAAGCTCCTGAGAGCTGTTATTCAGCTCTGACCTACTTTGAAGCACATTTCATTTTTGGCTAGGAACTGTGAGAATGTACACTTCCTCAGGATAGTAAGAAATACCCATCTTTGGGATTAAACCAAGCTTCCCACAGAGGTACTCAATGGTGAATTGGTCTCAAATAGTCTAAATCCCTTGCCTTGTGTGATGAGGTTGTACTATTGCTTGGTTTGGTGGTGAGTAGTTTCAGGGATCTCTGGGTGAGTTGCAATCCACCTTTAGGGTAGATCACCTTTCTGCCCTTTTACAAACTTCCTGTATCTCTCAGTTCCTCTACCTCCTTCATGGAACATCTTTTCTCTATCTAGCAAGTGAAACTTTGTGACCTCCTCTGACTGTTACCAGCATCTCGCTGTGAATTGATCAGCAGGATGAAGATATTTTCAGAACAATTCTGCCAGCGTATATAGTCCCTTCTGGTTACCAATTATTTCAAACTTGACACGAAATATGTCCCCTGATACTAGGGAAGAATGTTTTTCTACATTTTATGCTTCCTTATTATGCTTGGTGTTTGTTTGTTTGAACCTAAGTTGAGAAATTTTAATAGTTCCCTTGCTTTACAAAAAGGTAAGCAAGTGAAGGTTTTATTCTATTACATTGTAATTTACCAACCAGGTGCAACTGGTGTACTATAGGCACTTTTTTATACTGTGGTCCCAATGTCCACTTTCTTTCCTGGAAGAGCATGTGATCTTGGGTGATCTGGTGGCCAGTTTCCAATATGGCCATCAGTAAGTTTTGTCTCTTGGTATTTATGCCTTTGTGCCATCCTCTTCCACACAGAATAACTTCTAATACTGCAGAAACGATGAAGTATGATCTTTGGGGTTAGGCCGTAAAAGATATTGTGCCTTCCACCTTGCTTTCTTGGAAAGTACTTTGGAAAATGCCAACTGTTCCATGAAGACCCTTAGCCCTATGGAGAGGTATACATGGTGAGGAACTAAGGACTCCTGACAACAGCCAGCAGCACCAGGCCTGTGAATGAACCATCTTGGAGGTGACTTCCTCGGCTCTCATCCAACCTTCAGATGACTGTAGCACCATTTGACATCTTAACTACAAACTCATAACAGACCCCAAGCCATAATCATCCAGCTTAACCAATTCTAACTTCCTGTCCCACAATAATTGTGTGAGATAACAAATGTTTTGAAACCACAGAAAGTCTGTAAGATAATTTTTTATTGTTGTTTTAAGACTCTAAGTTTTAGGATAATTTGCCATACAACAATAGATACAAAATACGCGGGGCCTTCTAGTCTTAGCTACAGCAGTATTACCACTCAATTACACACGTTAAAAAAACTCTCCACTAAGAGAATGAATTTTCTCCCCAAACCTTTTCAGCTTTATGAGAAAATGATATTCCTCTTATTAGCCTGCTTTTGACCATTGCGAAGCATTCAAGATTAACTATCAGTAATTGGCACTCATACCCCTTACTTTTTTGTTGCTGAGTTCCACCCTAACCTCTGTAAGGGGTAGCAAGGTGACCTATGTGGTAGAAATTTAATCTCAGCCTGCTGCAAAAGAAAAGCAATACATACAATATGTTACCAGAAAGTTTTGTTTGTTTGTTCCTAAGAAGAAAATGATCTCCTCTCAAATCATTTTTGATCTTATCCCCTGTGTCAGTAATCAATGGATATCACATATTATTTTCACAAATTTTACTATTATTAATGGATTAAGAGCAAAATCCTAGGTTCAGATTTTATTTGTACTAATTTGTAGCCTCTGACCTTGAACAAAGCAGTTTCTCTGGTCTTTAGTTTTCTTATCTGTAAAATGGAACAATTAAAGTCTATTGTTTTGTTTAGCCCCAAATCATGTGTTTATTTAGTGTCTTCTATATGCTAGGGCCTGTACTAGAAGTAAACAAGATAACATGACTCTTGCCTTCTTGGACTTTGTAACTTACATTTAATATTGCATGACTTTATTTTTGGAATAAATTCAGACTGTGAAGGGGTCTATAAAAGCAATCAATTCAACACATATATTTTTAGTATCTATGATGTTAATTAACTCTCAACTAAGTGCTGATGTTCATAATTATACATTCCAAATTAATAATACTAGAATGTATCTAGCCCCTCATACATTGCAAGGTGCTTTCTTACAATCATTATATGTGAGGTTCACAAAGCCCATTTGTAATTGCTAGGTTTTTTTTCACCTGGACTATCTACCCACCCACCTCTAACTCTGCCTTTGAGTATATGAGTCCCCTGCTGTACATCCTCAAGTATATTGCTCAAGAGCACTTATCCCACCTGCAACTAAATAGTGAACCAGAAAATGTATTAAAGTCTGCCCCCCCTTCTAGGTTGAACCATGTTCTAGCTTATTACTCTATCCTAGTATTTAGAACATAGAAAGTATTCAATATATGTTTATTATGTAAATGAATTTATTTTCATTTTATATGTTTGTAGATGAAGAACCTGTGTCAGGTTAAGTGGCCAAAGTCTTACGTGGAATTCTGCAAGTACCAGGTTTAGGCAGGCACCCTTGCAGAAGGTTCATGCTGCTTGGATTAGATAGGATGTGAGTTTAGACCATTCCGGTCCTATGCCTCCTGCTGATTCTTTTTTTATTATTATTATTTTAGTTGCAGCCAAAGCAGGGATAACAGAACACATAAAGGGAGGAGTTCAGGGCAAGACAGGAGGTGAACAACTACATAATCCCTGTTCTTCAGGAGTCTTGCTGACTCCCTCAGTGAAAGAAATTTTGCCAGTGATTAGAATGGAAAATTGAATTAAAGAGTTAAATTTTCAGGTGAAAGTATTATTTTTGATATTAGATCTCATACAATGTAATATATAACTGGGCAGATAATTCCTTTGAAAATTAGCTATATTAAACAATTTTTTAAATATTAGAAAATATAGAAATTGAGACAAGAAGTTTGTCTTGATACCTTGTCTCCATTTATTATTTTCCCATTTTCAATTATAGAATCCTAATGGGTGGATTGTCTGAATTGAAAATATGCCTGTATGTGATAAAATTATATCTTTTCTTTCCCCCTTCAAAACCTAGCTCCCTTTTTTAGCAAACTGTATTTACTTGCGTTTTGTGTTTTTGCTCAAGTGTCAATTTCCCTGTAAAGTCTAACTCTATTAAAATATATTTGCCTGTGGCCATGCCATCTTTAAATTTTCTTTAATTTGCATGCACTTCATATCTCAATGCAAAGCCTAAAATGTCTGACACAAAGTCTATACATAACAATACTTTTGATTGACAGGAAGGTTTATTATGCATTGATATGACATCATATTTATGTATAACAATGACTTTTTGACTGACAACTAAGCAATGATAGAATTCTGGACGCCTTCTATATACCATTTTTTATAAGACAAACTAAAATATCCAGATAATTGGCTGAATTTTTTTAGTTTTCATGCCAATTTCTTAGCATTGGGTATGGAAGGACACAATGAGCTAATGTCTCATTCTTTACCTTTTCCAGTAGTGAAAGATACTGTGTCCCATATGATTTTACTTCCTTTTTTAAAAAGGGATTTTATCTGTTAAAAGTTAGCAATATCGATATTGAATGTACTGATTTTTAAAATAGGCAGGATTACCACCGTTCTGTGGAATATTTTCAAGATCTCAAGGATGAGAACACAAAATCTTAATGGAATTCTTCATTTTGGTCTCACGATAGGGTTTTCAAGAGGCGTTATCCACATCACTGCACATTTTTGCCAGTCAATTAACACGTTTCTGGAGCACCTACCGTGGAGTCAGCAGTCAATAGATACCGGCATACTCCGGAGATACTGTGGGTTCAGTTCCAGACCATCCAATATTGCAATAAAACAAATCACGTGAATTTTTTCTGTTCCCAGTGTGTATGAAAGTTATGTTTACAGCCTGGTGAGGTTGGTCACACCTGTAATCCCAGCACTTTGGGAGGCCGAGGCGGGCAGATCACCTGAGGTCGGGAATTCGACACCAGCCTGACCAACATTGAGAAACCCCATCTGTACTAAAAATACAAAAAATTAGCTGGGTGTGGTTACGCTTGCCTGTAATCCCAGCTACTTGGGAGGCTGAGGCAGGAGAATCGCTTGAACCCGGGAGGCGGAGGCTGCAGTGAGCTGAGATCTTGCCATTGCACTCCAGCCTGGGCAACAAGGGTGAAACTCCACCTCAAAAAAAAAAAAAAAGTTAAGTTTATGTTTACACTATACTGTAGCCACTGTAGCCTAGTAAGTGTGCAATAGCATTATGTCATTATGTCTAAGGAAACAATGCATATATTTTAATTAAAAAACTCTTCATTGCTATAAATTGCTAACGATCATCTTCAGCAAGTTTCAATCTTTGTGTTGGTGGGTTTGCTACGATGGTATTTGTTTTTTGTTTTTTGAGACACGGTCTCACTCTGTCACCCAGGCTAGAGTACAGTGGCATGATCTCGGCTCACTGCCGTCCCAACCTTCTCGACTCAAGCAATCCTTCCACCTCAGCCTCCTCAGTAACTGGGACTACAGGCACATGCTACCACTCCTGGCTAATTTGAAAAGTTTCTGTAGAGACAGGGTCTCACTATGCTGCCCAGGCTATTGCCTTGATGTCGATGGCTGCTGACTGATCAGGGTGGTGGTTGCTGAAGATTGGGGTGCCTATGGCAATTTCTTAAAATAAGACAAAATAAAGTTTGCCACATCTATTGACTCTTCCTTTCACAAAAAATTTCTCTGTAGCATGTGATGCTGCTTGATAGTGTTTTACCTCCAGTAGAACTTCTTTCAAAATTGGAGTCAATCCTGTTATACCTTCCTGCTATTTTTTTATCAGATAAGTTGATGTAATATTCTAAATCCTGTGTTGTCATTTCAAAAATGTTCACAGCATCTTCACCAGGAGTAGATTCCATCTCAATATACCACCTTCTTTGCCTATCCATATGAAGTGACTTCCCGTCTACTACTAGATTGCAGTAATTCAGTCACATCTTCAGGCTCCACTTCTCATTCTAGTTCTCTTGCCATTTCTACCACATTTGCAGTTACTTCCTTAGCTGAAGTCTTCAACTCCTCCAAGTCATCCATGAGGGTTGAAATCAACTTCTTCCAAGCTCCAGTTAACATTGATATTTTGACCTCCTTCCTTGAATCATGAATGTTCTTAATGACATCTAGAATGGTAAATTCTTTTCAGATGGTTTTCAATTTTCTTTCCCCAGGTATATCAAAGGAATTACTATCTATGGCACTATAGCCTTCCAAAACATATTACTTAAATAATAACACTTGAAAGTCAAAAATACTCTTGGTCCACAGGCTTCACAATGTGTGTTGTGTCAGCTGGTGTGAAAACACCATTAACCTCCTTGTACATCTCCATCAAAGCTCTTGGGTGACCAGATGCATTGTCAATAAGCAGTAATATTTTGAAAGAAACTTTTTTTTTCTTCTGAGCAGTAGGGTTTAACAACGGACTTCAAATATTTAGTAAACCATGCTGTAAATAGATATGCTGTTATCCAGGCTTTCTTTTTCCATTTATAGGGCACAGGCAGAATAGATTTAGCTTAATTGTTAAGGGTCCTAGGGCTTTCGGAATGGTAAATGAGTATTGGCTTAAAGTTAAAGTCACTAGCTGCCTTAGCCCCTAACAAGACAGCCAGCCTGTCCTTTGAAGCTTTGAAGCCAGGCCTTGACTTTTCCTCTCTAGCTATGAAAACCCTTAATGTCATCTTCTTCCAATAAAATGCTGTTCTGTCTATATGGAAAACTGTTATTTGGCGTAGCCGTCTTCATCAATGATCTTAGCTAGATATTCTGGATAACTTGCTGCAGCTTCTTCATCAGCACTTACTACTTCACCTTGTACTTCTATGATAGAGAAACTTCTTTCCTAAACCTCATGAACCAACCTCTGCTAGCTTCAGACTTTTCTTCTGCAGCTTCCTCACCTTTGTCAGCCTTTATAGAATTGAAGAAAGTTAGGGCCTTGCTGTGGATTTGGCTTTGGCTTGAGGTGATGTTGTGTCTGATTTGGTCTTCTATCTAGACCACTGAGACTTTATTCCTATGAGCAATAAAGCTGTTTTGCTTTCTGTCTTTTATTTTTTTTTGGCAGGCGGGGGTGGGGGACAGAGTCTCACTCTGCCACCCAGGCTGGAGTGCAGTGTCGTGATCTCTGCTCACTGCAACCTCCACCTCCCGGGTTCAAGCAATTCTCCTGCCTCAGCCTCCCAAGTAACTGAGATAACAGGTGCACCACCAAGCTCAGCTAGTTTTTGTATTTTTGGTAGAGATGAGGTTTCACCATGTTGGCCAGGCTGGTCTGGAATTCCTGGCCTCAAGCAATTTACCCACCTCGGCCTCCTAAGTGCTGCGATTACAGGCATGAGCCACCATGCCTGGCCTATTTTGCTTTCTTGTCTTTCATGTGCTCACTGGATTAGCACTTTAAATTTCCTTCAAGAACTTTCCCTTTGCATTCACAACTTGGCTATCTTTGGCTCAAGAGGCCTAGCTCTTGGCCTGTCTCAGCTTTTGACATGCCTTCCTCACTAATCTTAATCATTTTTAACTTTTGATTTTAAGTCAGAGGTACAACTCTTTCTCTCCTTTGAAAAATTAGAGGCCATTGTAGGGTCATTAATTGGCCTACTTTTAATATTGTAATGTCTCAAAGAACATGGAGGCCTGAGGAAAGAGAGAGGCTGCAATTGGCCTGCCACTGCAGCAGTCAGAACACACGCAATATTTATATATTAAGTTCACTGTCTAATATGGGTGTGATTCATGACACCCCAAAACAATTACAATAGGAACACCAAAGATAACTGATCCCATATCACCGTAACAGATATAAAAATAATTTTATATATTGCAAGAATTATCAAAACATGACAGAGAGATGAAGTGAGCACATGTTGTTGAAAACATGGCACCAATAGACTTGCTTAACACAGGTTTAATACAAACTTTCAATTTGTAAAACTTGCATTAAAAGGACAATAAAGCAAAGCAAAATAAAACAAGATATGCCTGTAAGGCAAGGTCCAGACACAAGAATTACTTAGGGAGTATGGCCAGGCAATACATAATTAAGTGTGAAATAATGTAGTAGACTGTAAGAATCCAGGAAATGGCAAAGCCAGTGTAGCCTGAGCCGTATGAGACCCCAGCTCAGTCTGAACGTTTATGCTAACCAGGTGGATGATCTCAGGCAAATTGCTTAATAGCTTTCTGTTTCAGTGTCCTCATCTGTAATGTGAGCTAGAGTGATCTCCCAGTTCTGTTGTTCCATGACTGTGTATAAGACAGGCTTCTCAGAGAACACAAGATCTGCATGGAACCCAGAATTTGGATGTTAAAGCCAATGCTGAAGTGGACATGAATGAATGAGTGAGGATGCTTATATCAGGAAGGAAGCCTGCATATATCAGAGATTTGTGCTGTGTAATCAGTGATAAAAATGACTCTGTTCTTCACAAAATCAGCATCTAATTTAACTCAATGAGAAAATAGAAGAATATTAGCACTACAATAATAGAATGCTTGTTTACTCTTCCAAATAAATATATAGTATTTTTAAAGCTGTTAAAAAGATGATCTGAGCAGAGTAGTCAGCATGGAAAAATGACTGGGGCTTCTGTAGGACTCTATGGCACTGGATTTCCACAATCAGATGGGAGCATATCACTCAATCACTCCCCTAGAAAAGAGCTGCAAGGGGCTCATATTGCAGTCCTAAATTATTGTTTTCTAATTCTACAGGTTCCTGGAATGAATGATACCCATTTTCCTGTGATCTTTACAGAAAATAAGATAACCAAATCTGTAACCACATTTGGAAAATCAGGAAGTGGGACCTTACTTCTGGCTTTGGCCTTGAGAACATCTGGGGAGGGATCAAAAATTCTGCTCTAAGTGAAGAGAAAGACCAGCATTTTGCTCACATTAGGGTGTAAGCAGTAGAAGATTTTTGACCCTCTTACAAAAGTGACAAATCTGCTCATTGTTTGCATGTTGCCTCTTCTGGTAGCTTTGATACCCATAAAATTAGAACCAGATGTTTTGCTTTTACAAACAATTGTATACCGGGTTAAAAAGGGACACAACCAAACAATTTGTGTTCAATTGTTATTTATAATACACAACTCGTTTTATTTTTGGCAAATAAAAGCTGCTTTAGAATAATTCTGCATTGTTCTGTTTGAAAACAACATGAGGCCCACGTATCTATGGCCATTGGCAGTTACAATTTATCTTCAATAGTAAATAAAAAAGTGACTTTGTACAAATGGCCAAGAAGCATAAACAAATGTTCAACATCACTAATCATCAGAGCAATGCAAATTAAAATTACATTGAGATATTATACCAGTCAAAATGACTATTAATAAGAAGTCAAAATCAGCTTATGTTGGTGAGGATGTGGAGAAAGTGGAATGCTTACACAGTGTTGGTGGGAATGTAAATTGGTACAACCTCTATGAAACACAGTATGGAGATTTATCAAAGAAATAAAAATAGAACTATTATATGATCCAACAGTCCTACTGGGATTACTACTAGATACTGGGTATCTACTTAAAGAGAAGAAATCATTATATCAAAAAGATACCTGTACTCATATGTCTATTGCTGCACTATTCACAATAGCAAAGATATGGAATCAACCTAAGTGTCCATCTACAGATGATTGGACGTATCACATTTTCTTTATTTTCTATATCTTTCTATATATCACATCTTTCTTTGTATATTTACGTACACACACCATGGAATACTACTTAGCCATAAAAATAATGAAATTGTCATGTCTTTTGCAGCAACCTGGATGGAACTGGAGGTCACTATCTTCAGTGAAACAACTCAAAAACAGAAAATTAAATACCACATGTTCCCACTTATAAGTAGGGGCTAAATAATGTGTGCATAGAAAGTGGAAATAGTAGACGTTGGACACTTGGAAAGGTGGGAGGGTGGGGGCAGGGTCAGGGTTGAGAAATTACCTAACTAGTAAATTATTTGGGTGACGGTTACACTAAACACCCAGATTTCACAACTACACAATATATCAGTGTAGGTTGTACCCCCTAAATCTATAAAAATGAAACAAAAAAAGAAAGGGACTTTGGTTTTTTTTCTCAAGAGAAACTAAGCTCAGTGTTACATCCTCAGAAAAGACAATGTAAAACAGATTGCATTTTATTAAAAAAAATTGATAGTTTAGATAAAAGTAATGATGTTCAAAGCTATTTATATAGACTAGGGAGTAAAATATAAATAAATACCATAACTTTTATGTTTTTTAAACATTTTACTTTTTTAGAGCAGGTTTTTGTTCACAGCAAAACTAAGAGGAAGATAACAGATTTCCCATATATCCTGTATCCTGACACATGCAGAGCCTCCCCCATTATCAATATCACCCATCAGAGTGGTACATTTGTTACAATTGATAAACCTACATTGACACATCATTATCATCCAAAGTCCATAGTTTGCATTAGAGTTCACTCTTGGTGCTGTGCATTCTGTGCCATTTGGACAAATTTAAAATGACATATATCTATCATTACAGCATCAAACAGGATAGCAATTGCCCTAAACATCGTCTGTGCTTGGCCTGGTCATCTCTCCCTCCCCACAGCTCCTGGCAACCACTGATCATTTTACTGTCTCCATAGTTTTGTCTTTTCCAGAATGTCATATAGTTGAAATTGTAAAGTATGTAGCCTTTTCAGATTGACTTCTTTCACTTAGTAACATGCATTTCATTTTCCTCTGTATCTTTTCATGGCTTGATAGCTCATTTCTTTTTAGGCATGAATAATATTCCATTGTCTGGATGTGCTGCAGTTCATTCATCCATTCACCTACCTGCTGAAGGACATACTGCTTGCTTTCAAGTTTTGTCGATTACGATTTTTTTCCATGAGTTATAATGACATACTTCGGGTCATTCTAGTTTTGTTCTTTTTGTATCTGCGTTATTAAAAATTACTTGGTAATGCTGAATTTAAAGATTTTATATACAAATAATTATGTCTTCCAATAACATAGCCTAAAATTTCCCCAAATTTGGAAGTGCAAATTCAGGATAGACAGAACTAACTTAGTGCTTTGGAAAAAAATTGTCTGCTGATGTAAATTAAACAACTGCAACCAAAATAATAACATCTTGCAAACCTGAGTTTCTACAACAAGCACCAAGGGGAGCTCCTGAAAATGCAGTGGCAGAGCACCTGCGTCACTGCTGGCAGCCAGCCAGTGGCAATGGAGATGGGATGGGGGGCATACAGCAGCCAGCAGCACAGACGTGTTTGGCACCCATGAGACACCCTCTGAGGTCTTCCAGAAACACTTCACAGAGAAAGCTTGTCATGTGCCGGGTTCTGCGTAACCAGGTTTGCTGTTGTTTTTTGGGGGCTGCAGGAGGATACAGGGGCATATCCAAACAGCAAAATTTGAGAATACATTCCTTTTTTTGAGGGGTGGTCCGGGGGACAGAGTTTCACTCTTGTTGCCCAGGCTGGAGTGCAGTGGTGCAATCTTGGCTCACTGCAACCTCCATCTCCCAGGTTCAAGCGATTCTCCTGCCTCAGCCTCCTGAGTAGCTGGGATAACAGGCACATGCCGCTGTGCTCGGTTAATTTTGCATTTTTAGTAGAGACGGGGTTTCATCATGTTGGCCAGGCTGGTCTTGAACTCCTGACCTCAGGAGATCCACCCACTTCGGCTTCCCAAAGTGCTGTGATTACAGGTGTGAGCCCCTGCACCCAGCCAAGAGTACATTCTAATACAGCCAAATTTATTTCCATAGGCTGCTGAGCTCTGGGACAGCAGAATAACACTAACGAAGCTTATAGTGTCTTCCCAGGGCTGAAGGACTCCAATCTGCAGAGAGGATCACTTCAAGATGGAAAGTCAGAACTGAAGAGAAATTCATGTGAATGCACACTTTATCCAGGAAGAAATTATATGCACATGAGAAGAGTAGACGGCATCTGAACTGCCCAAACCCCAAGCCCACATTCTTTACACATTTTGGAACTGCGAATGATTTTGCTTCATTCAGAACTGTGGGGTCTTTAAAATGTGTATTTAGAAACATGACCTCATACTAATGCTGGACACAAGGAGGAAAGCAGGTAGGAAGAAGGATGGGGCTTGAACAGCTCATGACTGGAAATGATCTTAAGTTTATATACATGGAATTAACCCATCAGTTACTGACTCCATCAGTAAGATGGTGCTGAGGGAAGTGGAACTGAGGCTCACAGAAATACTGGCATTGTGAGGTGATATATGCTTATAGTCCCAGCTACTTGGGAGGATGAAGTGGGAGGATTGCTTGTGCCCAAGCCTGGGAGATCGAGGCTGCAGTGAATCCATGATCATGCCACTGCACTCCAGCCTGGGTGACAGAAAAACCCTGGTTCAAAAAGAAAAACAGAAAAAAAAAATACTGGCCTTGGGACATCCTAAGAGTATTCACTCTCTGAATTTTTATCTAAACATTCTTTCCTAACTGCCACACAACGCAATGGGCAAGCTCCCTCACTGCCTTCCGATTAAGGGAATGAAAGCTCCTTGAGGACCAGTGCTGTATATCCTGCCATCCTCACAGTTAGCTAAGTGTCCTTGCATTTGGCAGAGACTTAGTACCTATTTATGGAGCCAAAGAAAAAGAAAGAGAAAATGGTAATATGCTATTTGTTTTCAAGTTGGTTTTCTCTCTCAATTCTAAGATTTCCACTGCAAAAGAATCTCTAAACATTTTTGTTCTCCACAATTTGCCATTACCTTTTCTATTATACATACACAAAGTGAGACTATATGCTGTCTTTCCCCATTTTTGCTGCCCCTTCCCTGATACATCTTTATTAGGTTTAAATTTAAAATGGTCCTATGGGGAAATGCCCTCATGTTTCAGTCTTTCATTGCTCCGTTTCTGTTCTTTCTCAACTTAGTAACTCATTAGTTCTTCCGTTTCTGTGCATTCCAATGAAATAACTTGGTTATTTCATGCACACACAAACACACACAAAACCATTGGAAATTAGTTTTTTCAACAATGCAAGTTAGAATCACATCACATTTAAACTTACAAATATTTCTATACAATTTAAAAAATGAATATAAATCATTCTGAGTTTTAAAAAATGGAGAAAATGGTTCAAGTGATGGAAAACGTCTATAGCTCCCTAGAGGCTGAAATATTATGGTAATCATTTTCATAATTCAAGTGAATATATAATTACTAGAACAGCAGCAGGGAGATTTACAATTCACTAAACTAAACCAAAAAATCAGTAGCAATCAGTATGGGAAAATGTACCCTCTTATATCTGAGGTAAATTAATTTTGTTACTGAAATGTCATTATGTTGTCATATTTCCACTCTTATCACTTATTCAAACATATCCACTTTTCCTTCCTAATGTTTCATTGCTACGATAATTGAACTTTGCAGTTTTTATCTCAGGCTTATATTACTTAAAAATCACTGTGTGCATTATTACAAGGAAAGGGCAAAGGCAGAGATAGGACTTATTTAGCTCTCATGGTTTATGATTGTATTGAAGCTCACAATTGATTATAACTTCCTAACCTTTCTTTTCCTACTCATTACCCTCTTCATTTTATACTAGTATTTCCAGCTATTAGACTATCTTTATTTAGGAGGCACAAAAGGAAAAGACCAAGAAGAATTTGAAAAATAATATATTTTTGTTTTGATGTTTCAATTCAAGGCAGGTTTGAAAATGCTGAACTGTCTAAGGTATACTAAATATTCATTAGGCAGTTTAGATTTTACTAAGTTCTAAATGAAAGTGACCCAGCAAAATCAAATTGAAATTTCATAGAGTACTTTTCAAGTATGGTTCTAAAACACACATTAAACAAAATGAATTCATTTGAATGCAAGTCTTTCTCTTTCTCTAGAATACATACACACCCTAGGGTTTATTATGCTTTCAGTTCAATGCCTCCAAAATGTGTGTGGTGTGGATCAAATAAATAGTTCAACAGCTTTCATAAGCAAACAATCTTATGGTCTGGTATATCTATAAACCTCTTGTGCTATTTCTTTATGCTTTCCCACTTACAAAGGTTAATACAAATTTCATTTGAATTCAAGCAAAATATTCTGCATAGACAAATCTGTTCAGAAAGAGCCCATCAGAATTTATCCATGTGAATCCAACAGCTCTTTATGGACTTGTAAAGGCATAGCAAAATGTGCTCACTTTTAGAAATCAGACTTGCTACTGCCCAGCTCTGAAATCATAGACCTAAGTGCAGGAAGGACTTTAGAGATCATGTAGCATAACTCTCCCACTTAAAAAATTGTAGAATTCAGCACACATTTAAAATGTCCTTTACCTTTGGTTATACCCCTTGTGTTGATGCCTGTTTTATTTGATATTAACATAAACACTCTAGCTTTCTTATGGTTACAGGTTTCATGATATATCTTTTTCCATCTTTTTCATTTTAATCTCTATGTACCTTTATATTTTAAATGCACCAATTTTAGAGAACTTATAGATGAGTTCTGCTTTTTAATTCAGTCTGATAATCTCTGCCTTGTAATTAATCGTGTTAATTTACATAAACTTTATGTAATTATTTAGTTTTTGTCATTCTTGTCTATTTGTCCATCTTGCGTCTTCAAGCTTTCTGCTCTTCCTGTCACCTTCTTTTGGTTTAATACAAGATTTCTTTTAAAATGCACATTTTATTTTAGAACAGTTGTAGGTTTAGAAAAAAATTGTGACGATAGTTCAGAAAGTTCACATATACCTCTCACCCAGTTTCCCCTATTATTAGCATCTAACATTAGATGCTCCAGGATCCTCTTGTACATTTCCCATCCCATCCTAGAACCAACCATTTTACCAGGAAGACTTGCTTCTTTTTACTGGAGAGTGGCATGAGAAACCAAGATCTAGGTGTTAGGTGTGTTTATTACTCCTGGATTATCATTGCTTCTAGATTTTCTCAGCTGATACAGCAAGAAAATATATGTGTATACTAATCCAGGTATATGTACATACATATCTATAATATTTATGTTATAATCATCTATATAGATATGTATAGTAAGCTAAATATGCGTTCATACTGATGTCCTCAACTGTGGTCCATTACCACCACATGGATCTATCTAGGCTACTTCCCTGGTATATCTGCAATCTCGTGCTCCAACAGTAAGAAACCTGGCTCCTACCATCGGTCACCCATTTACTTAATTGTTTAGTTTCAGTGTACATGAAGAGCGCTATCAGAGTTGTTTACCAATAACCTCATGGGAACCGCCTTTATCAACTAGAGTATAGTGCTTATATATAGATTCTTTTGCCTTTCGTCTAACAAACTCTACTCATTTCCAAAGTTACTTAGCTTGGCAACTTTTTCCCATACTGCTTCAGTGAAGTTGTTTTAAATGTTGCAACAAAGGTATTCTGTCTTGTCACATTCCACATTCCATTCCAGGATCCCACAACCTCTTGAATGATTTTTTAAAAAATGTGTATACATTAAGGTTTACTCTTTGTGCTGTAAAGTTCTATAGGTTTTGACAAAGTTTCATGTATTTACCCTTACAGTACTATTCAGAATAATTTTACTACCCCAAAATATCACTGCCCTGTGCTTCACCTATTCAACTCTCCTCTCTCCCCTAAACTCTTGGTAACCACTGACCCTTTAACTGTCTCTATAGTTTTGCCTTTTCTAAGACAAATCTAATTGAAATCATAGAATATGTACACTTTTCCACCTGGCTTCTCTTGCGTAGCAATGCACATTTATGATTCATCCATCTATTTTTGTGGCTTAACAGCTCATTTATTTTTTATTATGGAATAGTAATTCCTAGCATGGATTATCACAGTTTACATACCATTTCTTCTATTGAAGGACATCTAGCTAGCTTCCAATGTTTTGGTGATTACAAATAAAGCTGTTATAATAATTCATGGGCAGGTTTTTGTGGAGCATAAGTTTTCAAATCAGTTAGGTAACTAAACAGAAGTGCATTCTAAGTTGTACGGTAAGACTTTTTAGCTTTTTAAGAAACTGCCAAACTCTCTTCCAAGTGTTTATACCATTTTGAATTTTCATCATTAAAGAATGGGAGTTCCTGTTGCTTATCCTTGACAGTAATTTCTATGGTCAGATTTAGGAGTATTTTGTTTGTGTGTTTGTTTGTTGTTGTAACTAGTGTGTAGAAATTTCTCCTTAAAGTTTTAATTTGTAATTCCAAAAAGACAGAATACATTGAACATCTTTCATTTGCTTATTTGCTATCTGTATGTCTTCTTTAAAGTAGTGTCTTCTCAGATACTCTTGCCTATTTTAAAATTGGATTGTTTGTTTTCTTATTGTTGAGTTTCAAGAATTCTTTTTGTATTTTCGATACAAGTGCTTTATCAGACATGTGTTTTGCAGATATTTTGTCTAAGACTGTGACTTATCTTTTTATTCTTTTGACAGTGTCTTTTAAGTTTTATTAAGTTACAATTTACCAGATTTTTTTTCATGGTTCTTACTGTTGGTGTTGTATTCAAAAACTCAGCACCAACCAAAGGCCACCTAGATCTTCTCTTATGTTTTTCTTCAAGAAGTTTTATAGTTTTGTATTTTACATTTAGGTCTATGGTTCACTTTGAGGTCATGATCCGGATTTCTTTTTGTGAAAGGTATAAGATCTGTGCTAGATTTACCTTTTTTTTTTTTTTTAACACATGGACATCCAATTGTTCATGCACCATTTTCTGAAAAGTTTATTCTTTCTCCTGAATTGCTGTGGTAAGCAAAAAAAAAAAAAAGAAAAAAAAAAAAGAAAAAAGAAAAAAAAATCCACCCCTCCCCAATAACACCCTCTCAAAGATGTTTACACCCTAATTCCCAAGACCTCTGAGTAAATTAGGTTTAGGTTACATGGCAAAGGGGAATCAAAGCTGAAGATAGAATTAAGATTGCTAATCATTTAATCTCGAGATGGTGAGATTATTCTGGAGTATCTACATGGCCCTTCAAAGTAACCACAAGACTCCTTAAAAGTAGAGGAGGGAGGTGAAAGAATTAAAGAAGGAGAGATGATGATGGAAGCAATGTCACAGTGATGCAAAGAGAGAAAGACATGACTGGCTATTGCCAACTTTGAAGATAGAATTGAGCCATGAGCCAAAAAATGTGGCACCTCAACAAGCTAAAACTAACAGGGAAATGTATTGTCCCCTAGAATCTTTTGAGAGGAACACACCCCTACAGACAACCTGATTTTAGCCATGTGAGACCCATGTCAGACCTCTGAACTCTAGAACTATAAGATAAATTTGTGTTATGTAAGCCATGAAGTTTGCGGTAATTTTTTACAATAGCAATAGTGAATTAATACAATTGCCTTTCCTCCTCTGTCAACAATCAGTTGACTATATATTTTTGTAGGTATTTTTCTGTGCCCTCTATTCTGTTCAATTGATCTATGTACCTATTATTTCACCAATACTATGCTGTCTTGATTACTGTAGCTTTAAAGTAAGTCTTGAAATTAGATGGTGTTCTTTGTTTTTTGTGTTGGCTATCTTAGATCTTTTACCTTTCTACATAAATTTTTGATAAGTATATTACTATATGTGAAATAGCTTCCTGGGATTTTGATTAGGAGTGTGCTTATAGATGAAGTTAGACTAATAATATGGAGTCTTCCTTCCATGAACATGGATTATCTCTTCATTTATTTACCTCTTCTTTAATTTCTTGCATCAGACTTGGGTAGCTTTCCACATATAGATCCTGTACATATTTTGTTAGATTTATAACTAAGTATTTCTTTCTCTTTTTTGTGCTATTGTAAATGTTTTGTTGTTTAAAATTTAAATTCCAATTGTTCATTCCTGGTATATAGAAAAACATTCATTTTGCATGTTATCCTTATATCTTGTGATCTTGCAATGCTCACTTATTGGATCCATGAGTGAGTATTTTTTTGGTCAAGTCTTTCAAATTTTTTACATAGACAATCATGTCATCTGTAAATAAAGACATTTCATTTCTTTTTTCAATCTTTATATATTTTACTTTATTTTCTCATATAATTGAATAGGCTTGGTCTGCCAGCACAAAAATTGAACGGGTACCTAGAAAGAAAGGATGTCCTGGCCTTGTACCCAGTCTTAGGAGTAAAATATTTAGTTTATCACCATTAAGTAAAATGTAGCTGTGGATCTTTTTGTAGATTTTCTTTATCAAGTGGGGAAGTTCCCCTCTATTCTTAATTTGCTGAGGAATTTTATTATGCATGGGTGTTGGATTATGTTGAATTCTTTTTCCACATCAGTGGATTTGAGTATGTGATTTTTTTTGTCTTTAGCCTAATTGGTGAAGTACATTGATTGATTTTTGAATTTTGAACCAGTCTTGCACACTTGAAATAAATCCCACTCAATCATAGCATATTATTTTCTTTATAGATTGTTGAAATAGATTTATGAATATTTTGTTAAAGATTTTGTATGAAATCTTTAACAAAAGATTGCTTTAGCTTTCTATGTTCATGAAAGCTATCTGTCTTTAGTTATCCTTCCTTGTAATGTCTTTGTCTGACTTTGGTATAGGTTAATTCTAGCTTCATATATTAAGTTTAGAAATATTCTGTCTGCTTCTATTTCTCTACAAGAATGTAAAAAATTGGTTCATGTAATTTCATCCTTAAATGTTTGGTAGAATTTAGCGATAAAACCATCTGGGCCTGATGCTTTTTTGGGGGGAAGGTTATGAATTATTGAAATAATTTTAAAAATAGATATAGGCCTATTCAGATTATCTATTTCTCTTTGTGAATTTTGGTACTTTGTGTCTTTCAAGGAATTGGTCCATTTCATCTAAGTTATCAAACTTGTAAGCATAGAGTTGTTTGTGGTATTATTTTATTATCCTTTTAATATCCATGAGATCAGTAATAATGACCTTCCTTCATCTGATATTTATAATTTGTGTCTTCTCTCTTTTTTCTTGGTTATAGGCTAATACATGTATGAATCTTTTCAAAGAATGAGGTTTGAGGTTTGTCAATATTCTCTTATTAGGCTGGGTGCAGTAGCTCATGTCTGTAATCCCAGCACTTTGGGAGGCTGTGGTGGGATTGAGCCCAGGAGTTTGAGACCAACCTGGACAGCATAGTGACATTCTTTGTAGAGACAACACTCATCTCTACAAAGAATACAAAAATTAGCCAGGCGTGGTGGCACATACTTGTGGTGCCAGCTATTGGGAGGCTGAGGCAGGAGGATCACTTGAACCAGAGTTTGAGGCTGCAGTGAGCTATGATCACCACTGCACTACAGCCTGTGTGACAGAGTGAGACCCTGTCTCAAAAACAAAACAATCTCTTAATTGTTTACGTCTTTGTAATTTCATTGATTTCTGCTCTAAATTTTACTATTTATTCCCTTTTCTTTGCTGTAGGCTCAAATTGCTCTTCTTCCCTAGGGTAGTAAATAGGTGGCTTTTTAAAAACCAGCATTACCATTTTTATTTATTTGGAGCATTCAGTATATTTATATTAATGCTAACTGCTTATATATGTAGACGTTTCTACCATATTTTTTGTCCTTTTTGTATGTCTCTTTCTATGATATTTTTCTTTCCTTTCTTGACTTTTTTATAGTAGATTTTTAAAAAACGTATTTCTCCCTTAATTGTTTGGATTTCCTTTTTCTCTTTCTATTATGTAGTGCTTCCTTTAGGACGTTTATATACATTTACATACATTTAATTTACTTATATCAATATTATAGCCTAAAGCTAATCAATATTTCCACCCTCATTCTGAACAATTTAAGAACTTACAGCACTTTATTCCAGTCACTCCTTTCACAGTAAATGCTATTATCATTGGAAATTTTAGCTCTATCTTATTTATTTATTGTTTATATGCTTGTTATACCTTTATTTTTGTTTTACATAGTTGATACTGATTTAGATTTACTCACATATTATTTTTATTGCTCTTTATCTTTTTATTTCTTTATCTGAGATCACTTTTTCCCCTTGCCTGAAGTTACATTTTTAAGAATTTTATTCAGTAAAGTTATGTTGATGGTAAAATCTATCAGATTTTTTTTTCTGGGAAATGTCTTTAGTTTACCTTATTCTTGAATGACATTTTGCTGCCTATGGAAGGGCAAGTTGGCCATGGTCTTATTTCATTTCATTACAGTTATTCTATTGCCTCTGTCTCCCATTTTTGTTGTTGAGGAGTTAGATGTCAGTCTAACTTAGGGGTGAGCAAACTGTGACCCACCTGCCAAATCTGGATCACCATCTTTTTTTTTTTTTGTATATAAAGCTTTATTGAAACACAGCCTGCTTAATAATTTACACATTTTCTATCTCTGCTTTTGCTAAAATGGCAGAGTTTAATATTTGTGACAGATATTATACAGCCTTCAGAACCTAAATTATTTACCATCTCACCCTTCACAGCAGAGTTCATTAATTCCTGGTTTATCATTGCTTCTGTTAATGTAATGGGTCTTTCAAAATAATATCTCGACCACGTAAGTCTCTGCAATTCCAGTAGGATTTGTCACATATGAACTTTTTTATGCTTGTAATTTGCTGAGCTTCTTGAAGGTATGGATTATTGTTTGTTATTGGTTGTGGAAATTTTTTAAACCTCGCTTCTGCTGTATCAATTCTCTTTTTTTCTTTTTTATAAGGTAAATTTTCTCACTCTATGCTCCATATTTCCATTATCACTTTTATATATTTCCTGTTTCTTTGTCTCTGCATTCTACATTCCTAATAATTTCTCAGATCCACCTTCCAGTACACTTATTGTTTCTCTAATTTAATCTACTATGTAGTTAGTACAATCCACTGAATTTTAAATTTATTGTAATTTTTATTTCTAGTTCTACTTGTTTTCTTTTCCAAAAATTCATGTTCCTTTTTTATGTTTTCTTTCTTCCTGCTCATACTTTCAAGCTACTGTCTTATTTCTTAAACTTTTAACATGGTTGGTTTATAATGCATGATTGATAATTCATGTATCTGCCATTTTTTGTAGTCTGTTTCTGTCATGTTATCTCATGTGAAGCATCACCTATTAAAATTCTTTGAGACCTGTGATTGAGGTAATTCCTCCAAAGAGCACTTGCATTTGCTTCTGGTATGCCATTTTAAGATTTTTGAAGAACCCAGCCAATGTAAACTGACCTATAAGCCCTGAGGGTTGGCATTTCTTTAGCAATTTTCAAAGGATAATTTTTTTCTCTCTTATTGAGCATCATGCTATTTTCCTTGCATTCTGAGTGGCAGGGGGTGGAATGTGGGGTGCAGGGAGGAAGGAATCTGGCTTGTTTCTAACTTACTCTTATTCTCTTACATAGAAACACTTCTGGAATCTTGACTTCACTTAGTTTTTTATTTGTCTTGTAGTCATATTATTAATGCACTTAAGGAGTTAAAAAAGAATTGCTTAGCATTTAGTTGCTTTCAGAAGAAGGGTAAGTTAGGATACCTAGTCTTCAATGTTGATGGGAAAGGAAGCCTACATGTCCTTGTTTAAACAGCACACTCGCCACAAGAAGGCAAATGACTTGACTGAGGTTACACAGCTCTAACTGTCCAGATTAAAAATTTACTGTTCAACACTACAGTTAAATAGCAAATTCTTAAAGAATGTCCGTTAAAGGAAAAAAAAAATTAGAGAAACACTTTTTAAAGAATTTAAAATTTTGAATATAATGATGACTGGGACGGATCTAAATAGACATCAATATTCAGTAGGGTAGAATACTTATTAAATAGATAGTCAAATAAGGTACATTTCAAGCCACAGAAGACTATTATTTGATTAAAGATTTAAATCAGATTTGAGGTCATTTCTACCTCAAATCAGCATGCCTCACACAAATGTCTTTGTTTCATTTAAAATTTTCCCAACTGCCCTACTTCCTAAACACCAAGGGAATCACCAGCTGCTATCCTGGTATTTAAGCCCAAATCTTTGGCATTATCTTTACTTTCAAATCTTTCTCCTTCCACATATACACATTTATCAACTTTAGCCACTTCCTTTGCTCTGTCAGTCCTGTTTTGGGACCTCGTCGCTTCCTGATTAGAATATTATCAGTTTCATTCTGGCTTTCTAGTGGGCAGCATCTACCTATGTTTCTAATCTTATATGAAACACATATATACAAACTACACATATAGTACACATACAATTAGTTCATATGTTCTATCTGGGCACCTTTTAATGTAAATATTTAGAGAAAATCTACATCATGGTTCCTCCAGGATGAATGTTCTAAAATTGAGGAGGATAGTAAAGGGATTTTGGCTTTATATGTGATGTTTTTATTTTTTGCAAAGAAATGCAGCTTCGAACCACTACTTAGGTAATACAAATCAAAATATAAAGAAAACACTCATGCTTACTATGAAAGCAATGTCTGTACACTTTAGTCCTTTGTAGTGACTCTCCTTTATCCCTACATGTTCTATAGGTGTTCATAGTGCCCTCTTTAAAATTTAACCCTTAAATTTTGAAGCCTAGTTAATAAACTTTATTACTAGGCAAGACTTTTCCTCCATTTTTTTAAATGCCATCTAATCTCTGGTACAAAAAAGACAAAAATTCAAGCAGGATGTGCTCTCTTATTTGTCAGAGTAGGAGATTGAACAAAATATTGTTTTACGTATAAGTTTCCCATTATTCTCTTTTCAGAAATAATTTTCTAAATGATGACTTGAAACATTTCAAGACCTGCCTTTTCTGCTTTCCTTCCTGCTATCCATACTTAATTGGTATTTGCTACTCTGTACCTTTTCCTCTCTCTTATCTAGGGTCTTAGAATTTTCCATTCTTGCCAGGCACCATGGCACATGCTTGTAATCCCAGCACCTTAGGATGCCAAGACGGGAGGATTGCTTAAGTTCAGGAGTTCAAGAGCAGCCTGGGTAACATAGCATGACCTTATCTCTACTAAAAAATAAAGAATTTAGCCAGGCATGGTGATGCACACCTGTAGTCCCAGCTACTTAGGAGGCTGAGATGGGAGGATCACTTGAGTCCAGAAGATGGAGGCTGCAGTGAGCTATGATCGTGCCATTGCACTCCAGCCTGGGCAACAAAGTGAGAGCCTGTCTCAAAAACAAAAAAAAAAAAGAACTTTCAATTCTCAGTCTTCACCTTGTAGCTTCCAAACCCAAATTCTGACTGTTCTAGTGGTTATCTCAATTTAACTGTATCAATTTTCAAACTATCAGAGACAATGAATTATCCAGAATGAAGCTCAGAAAGACATAGAAATAGAAAATATCAAAGTTGGTTTAAGAGTATAGGACTCTGAGTGAGAAAGTTCAACACATGGAGCTGCAAAAAAAATTAATAAAAAAAGATAATAGAGACAATTGTGAAGACAAAACATTGAAGAGATAATTAATGAGAAATACAAGGATTTTCATACTCAAGAAGCAAACAAATCCCCAAAGGCTTAAATAAAAAGAAATACTCTTAGAAATAATACAGTGAAAATAAAGAAAAAGTAGCCACAGAGAAAGTTTAAAAGTAGTCAGAAAGAAAAGACAGAATACCTAATGAAGGATAATTAATTAGTCAGATATCTGATATTTGAATGAGAAAGAGTGGAATATCTTCAAAGTACGGAGAGAAAAACAACTGTCAACATTAAATTGCATACTCTGTGAAATTTTTCAAAAACAAAGACAAACAAAAGGCCAAAAAAGAACCTAAGTGTTTCATAAACATATGCTAAGTCAATTACCTTCTAAAGTTTACTTCGGAAAGAAAAACGCTAATCTTAGTGTGTTAGATTCGTCTCACACTGCTATAAAGAACTACCTGACACTGGGAAATTTATGAAAAAAGGGGTTTAATTGACTCAGTTCTACAGGCTGTACAGGAAGCATGGCTGGGAAGCCTCAGGAAACTTACAATCATGGCAGAAGGCCAAGAAGAGGCAAACACATCTTACTATGGTGGAGCAGAAGAGAGAGAGAGAGCTAAGGGGGAAGTGCTCCACACTTTTAAACAACCAGATCTCGTGAGAACTCACTCACTATCATGAGAACAGCAAGGGGGAAATCTGCCCCCATGACCCAATTACCTCCCACCCGGCCCCACCTCCAACACTCAGGATCACAGTTCAACATGAGATTTGGGTGGGGACACAGAGCCAAATCATCACCTAGGAGGGTCTAAAATTCTAAAAGAATCATTGGCAATAAAAATGATAAATATACAGGTAAATTTGAACAAACTCTAATTGTACAAACCAATAATAATGCTTTATTAGTTTTCTATTGCTGCCATAACAAATTGCCACAAATTCAATGGCTTAAAAGAATATAAATTTATTATCTTACAGTTTAGTAGCTAGGAGTTTGACACAGGTCTCATTGGGTTAAAATCTTCATGTCAGCAACACCGCATTCATTTCTGGAGGCTTTAAGGGGAGAATCTTTGCCTTGCCATTACAAGATTCATAGGCCTCCTACATTTCTTGGTTCATGTTCCTCTTCTTCCATCTTCAAAGTGTATTTTCTGATCATTCTGTGCAGTCACATCTTCCTCTGACCACAGCCAGGAATGGTCCTCACTTTTAAGTATTCATGTGATTCAGTTGGATGCACTTGGGTAAAACAGGATCATCTCATCTCAAAGTCCTTTACCCTAATCCCATCTGCAAAGTCCCTTTTGTCATTTAAGGTAACATATTAACAGGTTCTGGGAATTAGTACATTGACATTTGGGGGTTGGGGAAGGGGCATTATTCTGCCTACCACAAATGCTATCTAAGTTTTGGATTTCATGCTTTTCTGCATAAAATTATAGACCTTTACTGAAAAACACCAAGTAAGTACAAACAAATGGGTAAGAAGCCTTTATATTATGAGGATGTCAATTTTTCCCCAGTTTATCTATTGTTTCAAAGCAACTTCAATAAAAGAATCTCATAAAGCTTTTCATAAAGTTTATGAGGCTGATCCTAAATTCCATATAGAAGAGTGAAGATCCAAGACAAGAAGTTCTTGACAAAGCAGAATAAAGTGGAGATTCTCGTTCTACTCCATGACAAGATTTATCCTAACACCAATAACTAAAACCATCTGTACTGGTACAGGGATAGATGCTTGGAATGGAATAGAAACTCCAGGTGCATTCCCAGACATATTTGGAAACTTGATATATGACAGATATGGCAATGCAGGTCAATGAGGAAAGGCTGGATTTATTCAATACATGGAACTTGGACCATTGTTTATTCATATGAGGCAATGAATTCCATCTTTCTTAACCATACAAAAATTAATTCCTGGCCGGGCGCGGTGGCTTACGCCTGTAATCCCAGCACTTTGGGAGGCCAAGGCGGACAGATCACGAGGCCAAGAGATCGAGACCTTCTTGGCTAACACAATGAAACCCCGTCTCTACTAAAAATAAAAAAAAATTAGCCAGGCGTGGTGGCGGGCGCCTGTAGTCCCAGCTACTCGGGAGGCTGAGGCAGGAGAATGGCGAGAACCCGGGAGGCGGAGCTTGCAGTGAGCCGAGATCACGCCACTGCACTCCAGCCTGGGTGACAGAGTGAGACTCCATCTCAAAAAAAAAAATAAAAAATTAATTCCTAAGTTTTATTAGCCGGGTATGCTATTTTTCTCACCTCCACAGATTACAATGGATTCACATGAAAAGTGTTTATTTCCTATCGGTGTCACATTCTAATGTAGATTTATGGGGGAGAGGTGTGTCAGTGGTCTGATCTCCATTGTCATTCACAGATCCAGCTCCTTTTATCTAGTGGCTGTGCCATCCCCTTGGCTTAGTTATCCTCCGTGTCTTCTGTAGCCGGCTGGCAGATGGGGAGCACTGAGGATCTTGCAAGAGATTTTAGGGCGCAGTACACATTCCTATGGCTCCACCAAACTACAAAGCTGGATGGAAATGTAGCCCTTTTTGGTACAAGTAGAAAAATAAAATGTGTGTCTACTACAGAAGTGGATTAAGTAATTAAATGTGAAAGGCAATGCCAGAACTTAAAGGAAAATACGAACTATTTAAGAGCTCAGGGTAAGTAATATTTCCATAAACAGTACTAGCCATAAAGGAAAGATTGATTGATACATTCAAGCATATTAAAATTAAGAACTTTTGCTAATTAACAGATACCATAAAGAAACCTAAATAATAAGCCACAAAATGAAAGAAGTTATTTGTTGTGCATAATGGACATAGGCTTAGCTTCCAGAATATATAAACAAGTGCTAAAAATTCTTAAGAAAAAAAAAAGTAGTTAAAAAAAGGCAACAAATATGAACTGACATTTCAAAGAAGATGGAAAACAAGTAGCCAATGAACATATGAAACAATGTTCAACCCCTTTAATAGTTGGGAAAATGCAAATTTAACTTCAATGTGGCTTTAATTTCACACCCACCAGATTGTGAAACATTGAAAAAATATAACAAAAGGAATTTCTTTTTAATAATGCTGGTGGGCATATATACATACATACATACATATATATATATATATATATATATGTATAGTTGCAGCTGCTTTGGAAAACAATATAGAAATAACTTGTAGAGTGGAAACAAATCCAGGAAACACTTATGGGCAAAAGAAAATCACTAACACATGTTGATCAAAGGATACATTCAAGAATGTTTATTGTAGAATTAATTTTAATCATGGAAAAAACAGAATAGCAAATAACTCAGGTATCTATTGATAGATGAGTGGATAAATAAAGTCAGGTATAGTCAGAAAGTCCACAATAGTGAAAATGAATAAGCCCCAAGTACACACACACACAGAACATAGATTCATCTCACAAGCATAAGGTTGAGTAAAAAAGGAAATCACTGAATATATGTAATTTAATTCCATCTATATGAAGTATAAAGACAAGCAAAGCTAAATACATTGTTTCAGGATACATATACATGAGGCCAAATGATAAAGAAAAGCAAGAAAATAAGAAACACAAAATTCAGATCTGTACCTACATTTGGACATGATGGAAATCAGGATGATGCATCAAGAAGGGGATATAGAGGACTTTCAAGCTGTTGATAATGTTCCATTTCTTATGCATAGATGTTAGTTTTTTAAAAATTTACTTATGATATTATAGAAAATATTTCGTAATCAAAGATTAAAAGTACTTATTTAATAAATATTTCCTGATACACTGAAAATATGCTTTTTTAAAAGCATAGCATAATGTGTAGCACAGAATCTATGTAAAACATGTGTTAGCAACTTATTTTTATTACTATTATGTTTTCCTTAAGTCTTTATTTTTGTCTCCTCTCCCCCTTAGCTGTGTCTCCTTTGTTCCTGCCACCACATGGTAATATATTGTTTCACTCTTCAGATGGTAAATCATAACATTTCAGGACCAGGAATCCTGAGACAAAAGCAATTTGGATCTGGGAGAGATTTCACCAGGTATGTTCCATAGGAATAGATACGGCTACAAATAAGAGTGTAAGTCTATTATCCAAGAGTAATTGGCTTTGCACTGTAGTAAGCTGACCACAGGATACAAAGTAAGCTTGATAGGAACTGTTTAGTGAAAGTATGAGATTACTAGCATAGAGACAAATAAGAGAAGAGTGCCAAATAAGATTACAGGTTGTCTATAATTGTTTGCGTTAAAATATAATTTTATTATGGTTTTGTAAATAAATAGTATGCAGAAATCTATGCATTCCATAACTGGGATCTCTCTGAATGAGAGAAAGATAATAAGGAAGTAATTTGGTGCAATAAACGATCACTATGCAAAATTTATATCTTAAAACATTTTTGTTGAGCTCGAAAGTATGGAATTCTCTTAACAGTAGCCACATTATTTTACTGCACACTCAGAATAAGGAAAATATATCAAGCTCAGAATTCCAATATACAAAGACTCACTGCTTCTTGGTTCTCCTAGTTGGAGATGGAAATAGTATAACAGCTCTCAGAGATAAGACACCACTAAACTCAGATAGCAGGGTATATCAGTTAGAGAAGCAAAGCCATTAGGAGATTTTATATATTACACACATACATACACACATAGATACACAGATATATACATTTTAAAAAGACATTTGTTACTGGGGTTTGACATTACACAATTTTGGAAGCTCACTGGATAGTCTCTGCAAGGCTGTTGCCTTTGAGAGCTATGCTGGAGCTCAAAGTCTGCAGGGAAAGCAGAGTTAGGAAGGTAAGATGGAAAGTAGGGAAGTGCAAGAGCTAGCTGGGACCCACAAGCATAAGATGGCAGTTTCCATTGTTCTGATGTTGATAGTACGAGTGTCTACAGGAGAAGCTGGCATTCTTCATCATCTGGGGATTCAGGAGAAGGTGGGGCAGTTGCAGATTTGGCTACTGCTCCATGCCAGTGACAATGTGTGTGAGCATTCAGAACAACTGCTGTTGCTTCTCTTCTTCTACCCTCCAAATCGTGCATAAGATTCACTTGTGGCCTACTCTAACTGGCAACATACTGGGAAGGGAATTCTGGGAAATGTCATTCAATCTAACCAAGTTGACACATTACAAAGCTACCAGTCCACAACTTGTCACTTTGGCACCCGGACATATTTTCTTAAACTATACTTAATCTCCAAATAGAAACAGTAATGACATTATGCCTAACACAATGCACTTATTCAGCATACAAGGAAAACATGCTAAGCCTTTTCCCAGAAGACAACACAAAGTTTTGTTTTTGTCTGTGGATAATGGTTATTCTTCTTCTAGTCTAAGGGTTGGAAAACTATGGCCTGTAAGCAAAATTCATCCCTTAACCTGTTTTTATACAGCCTGAGAGCTAAAAGTTTTGTTTCAAAGTATTTTATGATGATTTAATAATATACCAATAGGATGAAAATAACAAATAAAATATAAAATAACATTATTTTTAAATTAAAGATTGTCAAAAAAGAATAAAATAAAAAAATATGTAGCAGAGACTGTACATGGCCCACAAATCCTAAAAAAGTCCAAAATATTTACTGTCTGGCTTTTTGCTTAAAAAGTTTGTCAAATTCCGTTCTAGCTCATTCATGTTTTTTTCAAAATATGCAAGAAATATAACGATTACAGTTTTCATTTATGCAACTGGTCGCTTGGTCATAGCTTGTATTTATAACCACCTTTTTTCACCATTTGTTTCATATTCTCTTTGCCCTCAGCAAAAAGCTAACACCCAATGTAGTTCACAGTCTGATGGATGGGGTGAGGCAAACTTTTATTCCTGGAGGGTCTGGACTGTTAACAGTTCTGCCTCAATTGGGTTGTGGTAGTTTTCCATTTATTTTAATCACAGGACGTAGAAAATCCTGCAGAGAATCTCCTGCATTCCAGACTTATTCCTCCTTATTTCCATTGTGTAGTAGCTACTCGATTTCCATCGATAGTCAGGATCAATTACTACAGCCGTTCACTTCCTTGCCTGTTGATTCACAAGCATGCAAGCTCAAGCTGACTAGATGGCAGTCTCAACTTCCCATTCAATGGAGTCATTATTGTGTCCCCTGGTGGAAGCTGTCCTCTCTTTGAAAATACTTGGTCTCTACACCAGCAAAGCCCAAAACTGTAGAAACAGGAAGCCATCCTTTTGCTATAAGATCACTAGGAGCAATATCACTCTCATTTCCACCTCTTGATTCCTGAACTTGCAGATTTTGGCTATCACAAACACAGGACAATGTATTAGCCATTTCAACCCATCATAAAGGATGTTACCTCAGCTTCACAAGGTGTTGCCACCCAGCTGACACCATAACTGAGTCTTCAAAAGGCCATCACACCCTTCTATGAAGCCAGTGTCTTCAGGATAATGGGAATATGGTAAGACCATGAATAAATTCTGTGTGTATTACTGTCTTGCTGCATTTCATTTGCTGTGGTTACTTCCATGGGCAGAAGAGATGCTGTGTGGAATTGCATGATAGTAGATAAGGCCGTCTGGTAGTTTTGCCTAAAAAATTGCGGTCAGAGTAGGCAAGTCCATATCTATTCTCTTAGGAACAAGTCTCGCCAGCCCCATTACAGAAGTGGTTTAATGTGGTCTACTTTATGCCAGGAAGTTGATTAATCCCTCCAGGAGGTGCCATATGAGGGTTTCGGTGTTGGTCTCTGCTATTGGTAGACCAGGCATCCAGGAATGGCTGTAGCTAAATCAGCCCTGGTGGGTGAAAGTCCATGCTGTTGAGCTTATGCAAACCCTTCATCCTTGATGCTTTGTTCATGAACCCAATGGACATTGGCAGGAGTGACTGAAGGAGGAGGCTGATTGAAATCCACATTTTATGGTCAAGGGTCATTTTATCTACCTGATTAATAAAATCTTATGCTACTGAGGTACCCTTTGGTGAGCCTCCACATGGAATGTAAATATCTTTACGCTCTGTTCCCATTTGGAAGGCTTTATTCATATATTTCTTCCTTAGACTTCATTCCCATCCATTTTCCAATCATCCAAGTCCCTGCTCATCCAGTCAAACCATTAGACATAGCCCATGAGTTGGTGCATATCAATATCTCTGGGCATCTTTCTTTCTAGGAAAAATAAACAGCTAGGCACACTGCTCAGAGTTCTGTAAGTCAGAGTATTTTCCTTCACCACTGTCCTTCAGGGTCATCCCCGAATGAAGCAGAGGCTACAGCCATTCACTTTTGGACGTTGTCTGAATATCATGCAGAATCACCTGTAAACCAAGCTTAAGTTTTTTCCTTCCTTGTAAACTACTCAGGAGAACTCCACATGTAGTCATTAGTGTGAGTTGAAGTACAGTCTGAGACAGAAGTTACAATCTTTTATAACCTAATCTTGAAAGTGACACAGCATTACTTCTGGCATATTCTATTGGTCACATGGACCAACCCTAGAATAATCTGGGAGAGAATTAATACAAGGGTATGAATACCAGTAGGCAGGAATTGTTAAAAGTTGTGTTGGAGGCTGGCTACCTAACAAGGAGAAAGCAAAGTTAGGCAATATATGGCCTAGAGGCATTTGCCAGAATATCAGGTGTGACTAATGCCAAACTGTGGCGGAGTGCATTTAAAACAACAGAGACTGTAGGAATAATTTGATGAAACCATTTGAAATAAATGATTATTTTTGGCTTGGATTCAGGTACTGTATAGTCCATACAGATTTTTAAATATGAAGCTGTTAATGTTCTCATCCCCTTTGAAGGCCCAGGGCTCACTGTTGATCTCCATCATTGTATTTCCCTTGACAGTGATTGCTAGCACCTGGTGATGAGCTTCTTTAAAAGGTAAGCTCTAACTTAGAGTTAAAATATTCTGTGTTGGTTTAAGTATAGAACACTTCCAGGGGGAGGAGCCAAGATGGCCGAATAGGAACAGCTCCGGTCTACAGCTCCCAGCGTGAGCGACGCGGAAGACGGTGATTTCTCCATTTCCATCTGAGGTACCGCGTTCATCTCTCTAGGGAGTGCCAGACAGTGGGCGCAGGTCAGTGGGTGCGCGCACCATGCGCGAGCCGAAGCAGGGCGAGGCATTGCCTCACTTGGGAAGTGCAAGGGGTCAGGGAGTTCCCTTTCCCAGTCAAAGAAAGGGGTGACGGACAGCACCTGGAAAATCGGGTCACTCCCACCTGAATACTGCGCTTTTCCGACGGGTTTAAAAAACGGCGCACCACCAGATTATATCCCACACCTGGCTCGGAGGGTCCTATCCCCACAGAGTCTCGATGATTGCTAGCACAGCAGTCTGAGATCAAACTGCAAGGCAGCAGCGAGGCTGGGGGAGGGGCGCCCGCCATTGCCCAGGCTTGATTAGGTAAACAAAGCAGCCTGGAAGCTCGAACTGGGCGGAACCCAGCACAGCTCAAGGAGGCCTGCCTGCCTCTGTAGGCTCCACCTCTGGGGGCAGGGCACAGACAAACAAAAAGACAGCAGTAACCTCTGCAGACTTAAATGTCCCTGTCTGACAGCTTTGAAGAGAGCAGTGGTTCTCCCAGAACGCAGCTGGAGATCTGAGAACAGGCAGACTGCCTCCTCAAGTGGGTCCCTGACCCCTGACCCCTGAGCAGCCTAACTGGGAGGCACCCCCCCAGCAGGGGCACACTGACACCTCACACGGCAGGGTATTCCAACAGACCTGCAGCTGAGGGTCCTGTCTGTTAGAAGGAAAACTAACAAACAGAAAGGACATCCACACCAAAAACCCATCTGTACATCACCATCATCAAAGACCAAAAGTAAATAAAACCACAAAGATGGGGAAAAAACAGAGCAGAAAAACTGGAAACTCTAAAACGCAGAGTGCCTCTCCTCCTCCAAAGGAACGCAGTTCCTCACCAGCAACAGAACAAAGCTGGATGGAGAATGACTTTGATGAGCTGAGAGAAGAAGGCTTCAGACGATCAAATTACTCTGAGCTACGGGAGGACATTCAAACCAAAGGCAAAGAAGTTGAAAACTTGAAAAAAATTTAGAAGAATGTATAACTAGAATAACCAATACAGAGAAGTGCTTAAAGGAGCTGATGGAGCTGAAAACCAAGGCTCGAGAACTACATGAAGAATGCAGAAGCCTCAGGAGGCAATGCGATCAACTGGAAGAAAGGGTATCAGCGATGGAAGATGAAATGAATGAAATGAAGTGAGAAGGGAAGTTTAGAGAAAAAAGAATAAAAAGAAATGAGCAAAGCCTCCAAGAAATACGGGACTATGTGAAAAGACCAAATCTACGTCTGATTGGTGTACCTGAAAGTGATGGGGAGAATGGAACCAAGTTGGAAAACACTCTGCAGGATATTATCCAGGAGAACTTCCCCAATCTAGCAAGGCAGGCCAATGTTCAGATTCAGGAAATACAGAGAGCGCCACAAAGATACTCTCGAGAAGAGCAACTCCAAGACCCATAATTGTCAGATTCACCAAATTTGAAATGAAGGAAAAAATGTTAAGGGCAGCCAGAGAAAAAGGTCGGGTTACCCTCAAAGGGAAGCCCATCAGACTAACAGCGGATCTCTCGGCAGAAACCCTACAAGCCAGAAGAGAGTGGGGGCCAATATTCAACATTCTTAAAGAAAAGAATTTTCAACCCAGAATTTCATATCCAGCCAAACTAAGCTTCATAAGTGAAGGAGAAATAAAATCCTTTACAGACAAGCAAACGCTGAGAGATTTTGTCACCACCAGGCCTGCCCTAAAAGAGCTCCTGAAGGAAGCGCTAAACATGGAAAGGAACAACCGGTACCAGCTGCTGCAAAATCATGCCAAAATGTAAAGACCATCGAGACTAGGAAGAAACTGCATCAACTAACGAGCAAAATCACCAGCTAACATCATAATGACAGGATCAAATTCACACATAACAATATTAACTTTAAATGTAAATGGACTAAATGCTCCAATTAAAAGACATAGACTGGCTAATTGGATAAAGAGTCAAGACCCATCAGTGTGCTGTATTCAGGAAACCCATCTCATGAGCAGAGACACACATAGGCTCAAAATAAAAGGATGGAGGAAGATCTACCAAGCAAATGGAAAACAAAAAAAGGCAGGGGTTGCAATCCTAGTCTCTGATAAAACAGACTTTAAACCAACAAAGATCAAAAGAGACAAAGAAGGCCATTACATAATGGTAAAGGGATCAATTCAACAAGAAGAGCTAACTATCCTAAATATATATGCACCCAATACAGGAGCACCCAGATTCATGAAGCAAGTCCTGAGTGACGTACAAAGAGACTTAGACTCCCACACATTAATAATGGGAGACTTTAACACCCCACTGTCAACATTAGACAGATCAACGAGACAGAAAGTCAACAAGGATACCCAGGAATTGAACTCAGCTCTGCACCAAGCAGACCTAATAGACATCTACAGAACTCTCCACCCCAAATCAACAGAATATACATTTTTTTCAGCACCACACCACATCTATTCCAAGATTGACCACATACTTGGAAGTAAAGCTCTCCTCAGCAAATGTAAAAGAACAGAAATTACAACAAACTATCTCTCAGACCACAGTGCAATCAAACTAGAACTCAGGATTAAGAAACTCATTCAAAACCACTCAACTACATGGAAACTGAACAACCTGCTCCTGAATGACTACTGGGTACATAACGAAATGAAGGCAGAAATAAAGATGTTCTTTGAAACCAATGAGAACAAAGACACAACATACCAGAATCTCTGGGACGCATTCAAAGCAGTGTGTAGAGGGAAATTTATAGCACTAAATGCCCACAAGAGAAAGCAGGAAAGATCCAAAATTGACACCCTAACATCACAATTAAAAGAACTAGAAAAGCAAGAGCAAACACATTCAAAAGCTAGCAGAAGGCAAGAAATAACTAAGATCAGAGCAGAAATGAAGGAAATAGAGACACAAAAAACCCTTCAAAAAATTAATGAATCCAGGAGCTGGTTTTTTGAAAGGATCAACAAAATTGATAGACCGCTAGCAAGACTAATAAAGAAAAAAAGAGAGAAGAATCTAATAGACGCAATAAAAAATGATAAAGGGGATATCACCACCGATCCCACAGAAATACAAACTACCATCAGATAATACTACAAACACCTCTACGCAAATAAACTAGAAAATCTAGAAGAAATGGATAAATTCCTCGACACATACACTCTCCCAAGACTAAACCACGAAGAACTTGAATCTCTGAATAGACCAATAACAGGATCTGAAATTGTGGCAATAATCAATAGCTTACCAACCAAAAAGAGTCCAGGACCAGATGGATTCACAGCCGAATTCTACCAGAGGTACAAGGAGGAACTGGTACCATTCCTTCTGAAACTATTCCAATCAATAGAAAAAGAGGGAATCCTCCCTAACTCATTTTATGAGGCCAGCATCCTCCTGATACCAAAGCCGGGCAGAGACACAACCAAAAAAGAGAATTTTAGACCAATATCCTTGATGAACATTGATGCAAAAATCCTCAATAAAATACTGGCAAAACAAATCCAGCAGCACATCAAAAAGCTTATCCACCATGATCAAGTGGGCTTCATCCCTGGGATTCAAGGCTGGTTCAATATACACAAATCAATAAATGTAATCCAGCATATAAACAGAGCCAAAGACAAAAACCACATGATTATCGCAATAGATGAAGAGAAAGCCTTTGACAAAATTCAACAACCCTTCATGCTAAAAACTCTCAATAAATTAGGTATTGATGGGACGTATTTCAAAATAATAAGAGCTATCTATGACAAACCCACAGCCAATATCATACTGAATGGGCAAAAACTGGAAGCATTCCCTTTGAAAAATGGCACAAGACAGGGATGCCCTCTCTCACCACTCCTATTCAACATAGTGTTGGAAGTTCTGGCCAGGGCAATTAGGCAGGAGAAGGAAATAAAGGGTATTCAATTAGGAAAAGAGGAAGTCAAATTGTCCCTGTTTGCAGATGACATGATTGTATATCTAGAAAACCCCATTGTCTCAGGCCAAAATCTCCTTAAGCTGATAAGCAACTTCAGCAAAGTCTCAGGATACAAAATCAATGTACAAAAATCACAAGCATTCTTATACACCAACAACAGACAAACAGAGAGCCAAATCATGAGTGAACTCCCATTCACAATTGCTTCAAAGAGAATAAAATACCTAGGAATCCAACTTACAAGGGATGTGAAGGACCTCTTCAAGGAGAACTACAAACCACTGCTCAAGGAAATAAAAGAGGATACAAACAAATGGAAGAACATTCCATGCTCATGGGTAGGAAGAATCAATATTGTGAAAATGGCCATACTGCCCAAGGTAATTTATAGATTCAATGCCATCCCCATCAAGCTACCAATGCCTTTCTTCACAGAATTGGAGAAAACTACTTTAAAGTTCATATGGAACCAAAAAAGAGCCCGCATCACCAAGTCAATCCTAAGCCAAAAGAACAAAGCTGGAGGCATCACGCTCCCTGACTTCAAACTATACTACAAGGCTACAGTAACCAAAACAGCATGGTACTGGTACCAAAACAGAGATATAGATCAATGGAACAGAACAGAGCCCTCAGAAATAACGCTGCACATCTACAACTATCTGATCTTTGACAAACCTGAGAAACACAAGCAATGGGGAAAGGATTCCCTATTTAATAAATGGTGCTGGGAAAACTGGCTAGCCATATGTAGAAAGCTGAAATTGGATCCCTTCCTTACACCTTATACAAAAATCAATTCAAGATGGATTAAAGACTTAAACGTTAGACCTAAAACCATAAAAACCCTAGAAGAAAACCTAGGCATTACCATTCAGGACATAGGCATGGGCAAAGACTCCGTGTCTAAAATACCAAAAGCAATGGCAACAAAAGCCAAAATTGACAAATGGGATCTAATTAAACTAAAGAGCTTCTGCACAGCAAAAGAAACTACCATCAGAGTGAACAGGCAACCTACAAAATGGGAGAAAATTTTTGCAACCTACTCATCTGACAAAGGGCTAATATCCAGAATCTACAATGAACTCAAATTTACAAGAAAAAAACAAACAACCCCATCAAAAAGTGGGCAAAGGACATGAACAGACACTTATCAAAAGAAGACATTTATGCAGCCAAAAAACACATGAAAAAATGCTCATCATCACTGGCCATCAGAGAAATGCAAATCAAAACCACTATGAGATACCATCTCACACCAGTTAGAATGGCAATCATTAAAAAGTCAGGAAACAACAGGTGCTGGAGAGGATGTGGAGAAATAGGAACACTTTTACACTGTTGGTGGGACTGTAAACTAGTTCAACCATTGTGGAAGTCAGTGTGGCGATTCCTCAGGGATCTAGAATTGGAAATACCATTTGACCCAGCCATCCCATTACTGGATATATACCCAAAGGACTATAAATCATGCTGCTATAAAGACACATGCACACGTATGTTTATTGTGGCACTATTCACAATAGCAAAGACTTGGAACCAAGCCAAATGTCCAACAATGATAGACTGGATTAAGAAAATGTGGCACATATACACCATGGAATACTATGCAGCCATAAAAAATGATGAGTTCATGTCCTTTGTAGGGACATGGATGAAATTGGAAAACATCATTCTCAGTAAACTATCGCAAGAACAAAAAACCAAACACCGCATATTCTCACTCATAGGTGGGAATTGAACAATGAGATCACATGGACACAGGAAGGGGAATATCACACTCTGGGGACTGTTGTGGGGTGGGAGGAGGGGGGAGGGATAGCATTGGGAGATATACCTAATGCTAGATGACGAGTTAGTGGGTGCAGTGCACCAGCATGGCACATGTATACATATGTAACTAACCTGCACAATGTGCACATGTACCCTAAAACTTAAAGTATAAAAAAAAAAGAACACTTCCAAATACACTTACCTGCAAACTTAATTTTCATATTGCTTAATGATAGAAATTTTCAAATTCAAGTAAAACAATTTTGTTTTGGAAAGTTTTTGATCTCTTAAAATAGCTGAAAACCCCCTATCACAAATTCAGTTTTGGAAACTAATGCACAATATCAGGGATTAGGTCTATTGTCAGTTGACACATCCATCCACCCATCCAACCATCCATCCTTTAAGCTAAATACATAGTACTAATGCTGGAACTTTTTCTAATATTTCATGGGATTTCATAGACTGATTTAGCTAAGTTTTGCTAAGAGACTGAACTAGAATGGTGGTAATGGAGGGAAAAGAAAGAGACAGATGCTAGAGATATCTTAAAAGGTAAGCAGGAAAAAAACATTTAGCAGGCAATGAAGATAAAGAAGATGAAAAAGATAGGGTGACTCAGATGTATTGAGAAGTGGGCAGTAGTCTTGCCAGTGACAGAACTAAGGCAATTGAACAGAAGAACAAGGACAATATGGAGTCGTATGTGGGATGTGGTAAGTTTGAGGTAATGGCAGGTTATCCATGTAGAAGTTAAAACACAGGCATGGAGCTGACATGATAAATTGAAATTATGAAGATAATTTTTGTTCAATTTATTCTGCAAATATTTGCTATATATCTGTGACAATAGCACTATAAAACTATAAAGATAAATATGGAATAAAGGTAGAAAACTAACATTTATCAGATACCCTAACACATGGCAGGCAACCTACTAGAGACATTATGTTTGGCTCTCCATTTTAAGAGTGCTTTAGATTTTTTTAGAGTGTTTTAGTAAATTACTTCACCCATATCAAAGTTTGCACTCTTTCAACTGCACCAGTCTGCCTCACTCTGTTTTCAGCATGCTTGCATTCTAATAATGGAAAAGAATGCATATGCTAAAATAACATTCATATAAAGCTGTATATTCTCATACAGTGGCATAAAGCAAGGATCATCAGAATCCAGGTGAAAAAGATAAACTCTACTGGCTCATTTAGGGTGTTCAGGGAAGCCTCAATGGAAGCGGTGGCATTGGAGCTTTATCTACACTGATGGGAAATATTTTGATATAGAAATGGGAAGCTTTGTGACTGGTAAAGTTTGGCTGAACATTGGAGTGTTTGGGAGAAATGGTTAGAGCTGCCAAAATATCCCTTGTTTATAATCTAGGGCCTTGAATGTCAACCAAAATCTGTAAGCTATTCAGAAAACCATGGTAAAACATTAACGGCTGCTGAGCAGGGAAATGATATGATAAGTGCTGTTTTAGGAAGATTATTCTACCTGCTGGCCACAACGGTTAGTTCAGGATGGTTGACTGAAGATGTTAGGAGCTCCTATTCATTCATGCATTCCATATTTATGAAGCATTTGCTCTGTGCCAGATACTTGTCTGAGTTCTGGAGACAAAGTAATGAATGAGATAGATATGGCTCTTACCTTCGTGGTGGTTATCTCCTAGTTGAAGAGAAAGATAAGAAACACAAAAGATAAAATGAAAATAAGTAAGATAATCTCAGTTAATGAGTTCCATAAAGAAACTACAACAGGAAAGCAAAATAAAAAGTGAATGGGAATTTCTCAGGTTAATATTGGGAGGTTGGGTTGAGTGTGATGTTAGATAAAGGGTATCACTTGGTCACTTGGGGGAGGTAACAATTGAGTTAAAATTTAAATGATAAGAAAGAAAAATTGTTCTGAGCAGACAAAACAGCATGGGCAAAATTTCCAATTTGGGTCAACACTTAGACTGTTTGAAGTGCAGAAAGCAGGTCAGTGGAACAGGAGCAGAATAAATGATGGCAAAAAATGATAAGTGAGGAGGTATTAACAATTCCTAGTTTTGCATTGGTTTTAAAATTTTATGACACTGTGGTAGTTAATTTTATGTGTCAACTTGACTGGGCCAAGGGGTGCCCAAATATTTAGTTAAACATTATTCTGGGTGTGTCTCTAAGAGTTTCTGTATGAGATTAAGGTGTGAATTGGTAAACCGAGTAGAGCAGATGGCCCTCCCCAGTGTGGGTAGGCCTCACGCAATTAATTGAAGGAAGAAACACAATAGTCTCCCCATTTCTGGGGTGGATGTCGTCAGTGGATGCCTCAAACCCTGGATCATACCTAATCCCATAAACACGGTTTTTTTCCTATACAGCAACGGGTGTGTTCTATATACAGCATGGTACACTGGATGAAGGGATGACTCATATCCCAGGTAAGACACAGAGAGTATATGTGAGATTTCATGTTGCTACTCAGAATGGTACACAATTTAAAAGGTATAAATTGTTTATTTCTGGAATTTTTCATTTAATATTTTCAGATGACGGTTGACTTTGAGTAACAGAAACTACAGATAAGCGGGGGGACTACTATAGAATACAAAGACTGAGCAAGAGAGAATTCCCCCTCTTTCTGCCTGAGTGCCTTCAAGCTGGGATATTGGTCTTCCCCTGTCTTCTGTCTTGTACTTGCACTGGAACTATACCGTCAGCTTTCCTGGGCCTCCAAGCTTGCTGACAGCAGGTCTTGGCACTTCTCAGCCTCCAAAATTGTATGAGCCAATTCCTAATAATAAATCATCCTATTGGTTTTGTTTCTCTGGAGAACTCTCACTAATACGGACCCTCGTGAATTACTTCTGTATTTAGGAAAAAAAAGTTATATTTTAAATGTAAGAAATAGACTTCATGCTAAAAATGAAGGGCACAGAAACTTTGAAAAGATATTGGGCAAATTACTTGGGCAAGTAATTTTATTTCAGTTTCCTCATTGCCAGATGACAGTAATAATAATCTCTACCTCATAGGATATTGTGAGATTTAAGCAATAAAATGTATTTGGAACAATGATTAATATAACAGTGCTGGTTATCTATTGTGGTTGCCAAAGAAGAGAATTAATATTGAATCTTGCTTCCTGGGAGAAAGGAGAGCTGGCCAAAGAAGCCAAGAAAAACAGAAAGCATAAAATTTAGAAAATAATAGTATCTTGAAATCTAAGAAAGACAGAATACCAAAAAAGGAGCGATTCGCGATTTTAAATGTTGCCGAGAAAGCCATACCCGGGTTCTTATTACAACTAACTTCTATGTACTCTCCTCCATTGGCATTCAAAAGTCCTTACTCTACTGTCAGGCACTTAGGAGCTCATGTTACTGTGTCAGCTTCCACTTGTATGTGTTTTAAATTATCTTCATTTACATAACATCTGTGTGTTATTCTCTTCTATGTATGTTCTCTGCAACCAGACTGTAAACCCTTCCAAACAATGAATTTTTCCAACAATAAACTTTTAACTTTCTACTCTCCTATCTCTTTTTGAGCATACACACAGACACATGGACACACACACACACACACACACACACAAATGGACACAGGAGGCCACAAAGCATTGACATTCAAATATTAATATAGACACAATGCAAATTTTTAAAAATTAATTTTAAACATAATAAGTTCTTTGAAATTTTTTTTAGAAAACATTCAAGCTTAGATGCTTCTGTCAAGAGCATTGTTTTGATAAATTTTAGTTTATATATTTGTTGCTGAAAATAATAAAACAAACACCACCTCTTTTGGGTATATTATGGGCTTTTCTCTTCATCTACCACTAGATATCTTACTGGTACTACCTTAAAGGAAAATTTTGTTTAAATAATCTTCTTTGTTTTCTTCTATTAACTAATTCAGTAAGTGAAATAAATTATTTCCCATTGTTTGTTTCTTATCTTTTGTGCTTTATTCAGTTGCTTGACAAATTTTTACCCAAATGAGTAGAAATGAGTGAGGCTGTCTAATTTTGAAATAGATCACTTTTATGGTTGCAGAAATTATGAAAGTTTTATAAAAGTTTGGCTTATAGACCGTCATATCTATAATGAGCATTTTCTTTTTTAAATCCCATAAAACACCATTTAAAGTTTATATAATAAAGTAAATCATCCCAATTACAATGCTTTTCTTATTTCCTTAAGGAAACTCAGAAATACACTTTCATAGTGGAAAATTCCAGAGTCTTAAAAAATATTACAGTATAGATTTGTGTATGATGAGTATAGAAAACAAGTGATACATGATAAAGTAAGTCTTTGTTATGCTATTATAAAGTGAGTAATTGTGCATGATGAAATCTTCATCTTGGCCTTAATTTGGAGGACTCCCTTTCAGTTGATGACACTGCTTCTTATGTCTTTGAGATAACAAACAATTCATATGCTTCCAGCAGCAAAACAGCAAATTTATGCACAACTCAATCCACATTGATATCCTCGCTTTCCTGTTGTTACTAGAAATAAACTGTAGGTAGAAGTTGTAGCTTCAAACTAAGGCCAATGCCCCCCTAGATCCAGTTCCCTCATATTTACTCAATTGCGTCTGCAACTGTCTCCTCTGTCTCCTGTATCATTGTTTTTTCCTTCTCTACTGGTCATCCAAAAAGTAACCCTTTGAATCCAACTTTCACTCCAGGTTTTTTCTCTTGCTTCCTTTCTTAGCAAATTTCACCCCAGGAGATTCACCTGTGTGCAGTATGGCCAATCCTTCTCTATCCATTCCCTTGTGAACCTATTATAGTCAGGATTTTGTCCTACCACTCTTATCAGCAGCTCTTGTCAAGATCACAAATGACCTTCACATTGCCATATCCAATGGTTAATAACATCCTCACTGTATTTGATCTATCAGGATCTGTTGTTCTTGAAAGACTTAGTCATTTGAGACTCAGACTTAGTCATTTGAGACTTAGTCATTTGAGACTTTTTCTAAGTCACAGGCCAATGTTTCTCAGTTTTCGATGCAAGTGCCTCTTTATTTTTCCAATCTCCAAACTTTGGTTCTACTAAAAGCCAAGTCACTAATCATTCTCAGTCTCTGTATGATCTTATACAGTCTCATGGCTTTTAATATAATTTGTCACTGATGACCCCCAAATTTATATTTCCTGTCCGAGCCACTCCTCTAGAGTCTTTATTTGTATACCCAACTGCTTATTTGTCATCTCCATTTGTGTGTCCAACCGGCATCTTAAAATTGATCAAAACCTCAAGTCTTAATTACTCCCTCAAAACTTTTACTTTTTAATTTTTACCCAGCAAATGGTGCCTTTATTCTTCCAGTGACTTAGACAAAAAACCTGGAATAATCCTTGATAATATGTCATATCTATCCATGATTTCTGAAAAATGTTATCTTAAAAAAATGCTCAAAATTTCATCACATCTCATGTTCCTTCAATACTACTGCCGTGTCTTCTTTATCCTCCTTGTTCTACTTTGTTTTCTTTGTAATATTTACCAATACCTAATGTTGTAGATTAGGTTGTGTTCCCTCAAAAAAATACATGTTGAAATCCTAACCCTCAGGACTGGAGAATGTGGCCTTATTTGGAAATAGTGTCATTTCCAATGTTATTAGTTGAGATGAGGTCCTACTGGAGTAGGGGTGGGCTCCTAATCCAATATGACTGATGTCCTTCTAAGAAAATAGCCATATGCAGACACAGAGAGACACACAGGGCGAATGCCATAAGCAAATGGAGGCAGAGATTGGAGTTAGGCTGCCACAAGGCAAGGAACACTTGGGGCTACCATAAGCTGGAAGAGGCCAGGAAGGACCCTCCCCTAGAGGCTTCCAAGAAAGCATGGCCTGGCTGTCACCTTGATTTCAGACTGTTAGCCTCTAGAACTGTGAGGGAATAAATTTCTGTTGTTTTCATCCACTCAATTTGTGGTCCTTTGTTGTGACAGCCCTGGGAAATGGATATGACTTGCATGTTGCATATTCATTTTATATATTATTTAGGTACTTGTTCATCATCTGTCTACTTTAACTAGAAGCCCCAGTTCCCTGATTAAGATTTTGTCTGTTTTTTAAAAATTGCTATATTTTCTCACCTGAAAGTGTGAGTGATTTATTGTAACTAGTAAAACATCAGTGAATAGGTCTTAGATGATATTCTATTCAGTTAGAGACCAAACCTTTTACATTTTTTATATTTTTGAAGTTTGCTTGTACTTTGAAAATAAATAATATTCAAAATGAACATGTTAAGAAAAGTTTTAACATAAAACCAGGACAGATTTCATTAGAATATGTTGAACGCAAAAATAAAAGGCACAGAAGCGGACTATGTACAAACAAAAAAATAAAAAGATACAGAGCTGAGATTGTCATTGTTAAAACAATCCTGCTAGCCTAGTAAAAATAAACCAAGGAAGGATAAATAAAATGTCAACTTAAAAAAAATATTTATCTAGAAGAGAAGAGGGGAAATATGGTAGAGGAAACAGGAATAAAGGTAAGACTTCTCTGAATATTCCATGTTATGTAATTTTGATTTTGGAAATACAAGTGTTTTTCCTTCTCAAAAAAATAATTAAGAAATAAATTCTGGGCTACGTGCAGTGACTCATGCCTTTGATCTTCCAGTTTGAGAGGTTGAGGCAGGCAGATTGCTTGAGTCTAGGAGTTGGAGACCAGCCTGGGCAACATGGCGAAACTCTGTCTCTACAAAAAACATACAAGAATTAGCCTGGAGTGGTGGCGTGCACCTGTAGTCCCAGCTACTCAGGAGGCTGAGGTGTGAGCATTGCTTGAGTCCGGGAGGCAGAGGCTGCAGTGAGCCAAGATCACGCTACTGCACTCCAGCCTGGGTGACAGAGGGAGACCTGTCTGGAAAAAAAAAAAACAAAAACCTCAAATAATAAACTAACAAAAGTATTTATCCAAAGTGCCTACCAACTGTTAACAAAACCACACACAGAAAATAGTTTATTTAAATTCACTTGCAGATAGATGCCCACCTTCCTGCTGTGACCTCACAAGACTGTATGCCCTTATTGAAATATATCCTAAGACAAATAGAGCTTCAAAGAAATGTTCATCTTATTTAGTAGTAGTAGTAATATTGGTATTATTATTTTGAAATTATTTTATGTATATGATAGAATGATGCAAACGAGTAATTGTTATAACTGTTAGGAACCAAGATTTTCAAACTAAAGGAAAAAGAAACAAAAATGAAATCCAAGAAATTAGGTTAAAACCCTATCATTTAATTTACATTTAAATTAGAAAAGGCAACATAGATTTACATAACCAAGTTTTTTTTCCAAATAAATTCTTCTTAGCTTTGTCCACTGAAAAAGCCTAGAAGCAATAACAATCTATAAAAAAATGAGTATTACGAACTAAATTGTGCCCCATTTTCTAAGTTCACATATAGAAGGCCTAACTCTCAACGTGACAATATTTAAATAGAGCCTTTAAGGAGGTAATTAGGTTAAATGAGGTCATAAGGGTGCGGTTCTAATTCAATAGGACTGGTGTCCTTATAAGAAGGCACAAGATGCCAGCGTCCTCTCTCTGTCAGTGTGCACACAGAGGGAAAACCTTGTGAGGTCACAGCAGGAAGGTGGGCATCTATCTGCAAGGCAGGAAGAGAGGCCTCATCAGAGACCAGCCTTGCTGGAACCTTGATCTTGGACTTCTAGCTTCCAGAACTGTAAAAAAGTGAATTTCTATTGTTTAAGCCATTCAGTCCAGTATGAATGTTTCTAGCTTTAAGGTAAATCAGTTACTTTTGTTTGATACCTGTGAACGCAGAGCTTACGATTACGGTGAGTATATGCAGGGCCAGTTTGTAAAAGTTTAATACCAATCTCCACTAAAAGTGATCAGGGTTTTGCAACCAGCCCAGTTGTCCCATAGATGGTTTTTGGATAAACATAGAAATTGACCCTCTCAGTGTTAATGCTTGAGTCTTATCTGAGTTCCTTCCTCAGGAAACTGACCCTCAGGCTTCCCAGGGGGTATCAAGGAACTGAAACTCCCCTTTCTTACCCCTTTCGAATTCCTGTTTTCCCACACATAGCTACATCTGTCCCCACTACATAATGCCCCAAATGGAGTCAATTGAGGAGATGGATTTGAGACTTATCTCCTGTCTCCACAGCTTCCGCATCCAAATAAAGCCTTCTTCCCTAGCAATACTCGTTTTCTCAGTGATAGGCTTTTTGGGCAATGAGCAACAGGACCTAGACCACTCCCTTGATATTTTGGTAACAGTTTCACGGAAAAAATTACACATCAGGGGGAGGAATTATACAATATGAGCCTGAAAAATCTTGATGGATTGGAAGGCAAGGTCTCCATCCAAGGACCCAGTGGACAACATGAAAGACTTCCAACTGACCAAAGATGAAACAATTTGAGCATCAAAAATAATGATGCAATTGGTTAAAACAGTTAAGTACTGTCTTATGAATTCAAAATGGTCCTTTAGAAGAGACAGAGGTGGAGAAAAATAGAGAACTCGAAAGTGAGAGGGTGGAGATGATATCTCATTGGATACCATTTAAAGTAACTAAATACCAATGCCTTACTTTCAAAACTGTCAATTAAAAGGAAAGAGGTAAGCATTTGTTCTGCCTTTCCTGTATAAACGACATTGCAGGCTACCCAAATAGCCCTGCTGATGAGGGAGGAAAAGTACCTGTTTATAAATAAACTCCAGAAATTTGCAATGGATAATAGAATTAGAAATTCAGTTTTCAAACTCTAATGATGTAAAGTGATTTAGGCAAAACCCAACATGGATGAACCATTCGGTGAACAGTTGATGGAGAGGTCAGGCTGTCAATACTTGACACCCATTGATCAATCTTAGCAGCACTAAAAATAGGACTTAAGACATTATGGGCCTGCTGATTTGATGTAGTTTGAAGCACATAGGATCACCTATAAATTATTTGCTATAAAATGCTGAACTTGAATCTAAACAAGCATCTAAAGGTAATCCCTATGTACAGCAAATACAACAGGAAAAAGAACAATCAAAATGATACCACAAGAAAGCAAACAGACAAATCCAGATTGTGGGATATTCTTCAAATCAATTGACCCAGTTTCTTTAGCAAGTCAGAGGCAGAGAGAAGAAAAAGGAGGGAACAGAAGCTAGGAATAAATGCTTTTGATTATGAGAGGCTTCAGAGACTTATCAGGAAATTGTCTTGTGTGGACCTTGTTTAGATCCTGATTCAAACAAAATAATTATAATCTTTTTGAGATAATTGGGAGAAATTTGATTACAGTACTGGGTATCAGATTATATTAAGGAGTAATTGTTAATTTTATTATGGTTGATAATGACATTATAATTGTAAAAGAAAATGTCCATATTTATTTAGAAATAAAGTATCTAAATGTGTAGCAGCGAAATGACATGATGTTTGGGGTGTGTTTTCTAGCAATTCAATAGAGGAAAGGAAAATGAAGCAAATGTGTCAAAGTCTTGGTAATTTTTGAGTATAAATGATGGCGACACAAAGTTCATTATATTGCT